>NC_000006.12:15969090-16120606 GCF_000001405.40 Homo sapiens | reverse complement strand
CTCATGTTGGCCGTGATTGTTTTGGCTGGTAGGTATTTACAAAAAGAAATTTTAAAGAAAAGAACTATCTGGGCCAGGTGCGGTGGCTCATGTCTGTAATCCCAGCACTTTGGGAGGCCAAGGTGGGCGGATCACGAGGTCAGGAGTTCGAGACTGGCCTGGCCAACATGGTGAAACCCCATCTTTACTAAAAACACAAAAAACTAGCCGGGGATGGTGGCACACGCCTGTAGTCCCAGCTACTCGGGAGGCTGAGGCAGGAGAATCGCTTGAACCTGGGAGGTGGAGGTTGCAGTGAGTCAAGATCACATCACTGTATTTCAGCCTGGGCAACAGAGCAAGACCCTGTCTCAAAAAAAAAAAAAAAAAAAACTATCTGACTTTACTTAATTTTAGAACTTTATTTTAATGAGTGGCCATGGCTTTTGTTATCTAAAAATAATACCTAAAAATATTCAAGTGTGGCAGTTTTTTAGAATTAGTTAAAATATTAATGAGATATTTTAAACTAACCAAGAAAATTAAACTTTGATATGAACCTCCAATATGAATAGACCGAGACTCCATTAGTCGCACTTCAAAGGATAAATATTAATATTATTCTGCCTACTTTGTCAATTCAAGATACTAATTAACTATTCAGGTTATTTCCCCAAATGATGTTTAGCAGGTATTTTTATTTGGACAAGTAGGTTACTGGAAAGATATTAGGAAGTTCTGCCTCTCTTTAAATTCTACTAAATCCTTTCTTCTTATTTTTTTTATTTTTATTTGTATTTTTGAGGCGGAGTCTCGCTCTGTTGCCCAGGCTGGAGTGCAGTGGCGCGATCTTGGCTCACTGCAAGCTCCGCCTCCCGGGTTCACGCCATTCTCCTGCCTCAGCCTCCCGAGCAGCTGGGACTACAGGCGCCCGCCACCGAGCCCGGCTAATTTTTTTTGTATTTTTAGTAGAGACGCGGTTTCACCATGTTAGCCAGGATGGTCTCTATCTCCTGACCTCGTGATTGGCCAGCCTCGGCCTCCCAAAGTGCTGGGATTACAGGCGTGAGCCACCGCTCCCGGCCGCTTCTTATTTTTTAAAACACTATATGCTCTAATTACCTGAAATCCTTTGAATCTTGCTAATTATAATAATACCATCTCAACGTCCCAGGACAAATATTAAGGCAGAACCCTCTTCAAGGTTCTTGTAAAGTAACACGTAATTTCAGATACACAGGAAGGAAAGTGTTTAACTTGAGTAACAAGCTGTATCATGCCACAGAGATTTTCATACAGAAGGATGCGTATATACTGTATTTTAAATAAACCAAGTATATGTTTTAATATGACAGTGTTTCAGATATTTTGAGAGAGAAGTGAAACAATGCTTTCTCTGAAAGCTTATGAACCAAATTAATCAGTAGTTCATTTGTTTTCAGCCTCCAAGATTTCGCATTCCATTGCAAGATCATCCTACAAGTTCTTGTTCAAAGTTCTTTATGCAACGTCCACACAGGCAAAATGCAAATGTGATTGCTGAATGTTGCCAACCTTCGGCTTCATAGGCCAGAGAAGTGCACTTGTGTGGATTTTAATGCTGACCTTGCAAGTCATATGAAGGCCAAGTCACAACCAGAGACTCAATTTTCTGAGCTGTAAAATGGAGTAATACCTGTTCTCTGATTTAAGTGAGACGGGTCACATAAAAGCATCAGCAAAATATTGGGAGAAATACTTAAATTTCTGTTTCTTAAAGTTCAGAAGATCAACATACCTAACATAATGAAAGTAAAATAATGTCAAGTGTGAAAATAATGCGCTGTGCAGTGCAATGATAGAATCAACACATGTTCTAAGACAGGGATCCTCAACACCAACCCCCCACTGCACAGCAGTAGATGAGCAGCAGGCTAGCAAGTGCGAAGCTTCATCTGTATTTACAGCCTCTCCTCATCGCTGGCATTACTGCTTGAGCTCTGCCTCCTGTGAGATCAGCAGTGGCATTAGATTCTTATAGGAGCATGAACCCTATTGTGGACTGTGCATTCGAGGGATCTAGGTTGTGTGCTCTTTATGAGAATCTAATGCCTGATGACCTGTCACTGTCTCTCATCACCCCCAGATGGGACTGTCTAGTTGCAGGAAAAAAGCTTAGGGCTCCTAGTGATTCTACATTATGGCAAGTTGTATAATTACTTCATTATATATTACAATGTAACAAGAATAGACATAAAATACACAATAAATGTAATGCACTTGAATCATCCCTAAACCATCCTTACCCGCACCCTGCAGCCAGAGAAAAACTGTCTTCCATGAAACTGGTCTCTGGCACCAGAAAAGCTGGGGACCACTGTTGTAAGAGTCATACGGAAAATGGGGTGCTTTCTGCCCACTCCACGTGACTGCTGTGGAAATGTCATTGGCTATTAAAGGAAGCTTTGCCGCCTCCTTTGCTGGGCTGGGCAAAGGAAAAGAGAAAAGATTACAGACACTGCACTAGGCATAGAAATCATTAAAAATGAAAATCTAAAGCAAATACAAACAGTCCTACTGTTCTTTTCTGTGTTGCTGGATTTGATCTAATACTACATAAGACACATTTGCATCTATGTTCATGAATGATATTTGTGTAGAGTTCTTTTCTTGTAATGGCTTTGTCTGGTTTTGGTATCGGGATACTAGTGATGGCCTCACTGAATGAGCTGGGAAGTGTTCTCGCTTACATTTTCTGGAAGAATTTGTATAGCATTGGCGTTGATTGTTCCCTAAGTGTTTGGTAGATGTCGCCAATGAAAACCGAATTTCCTTCCTGACTGATGCCAAATTCCCAAGTTTTCCTACCATTTCCTGACAGCCAGGCCTGCTCAGAGAGAGAGGTGACCACAGAGCCCCAATTTTCTATTCCAGAATGGGGCGACTCCAGAGCAGAGCAGGTCTCTAGATGCTTCTCCCCTTCCTGATGCTGAGCAGCTCAACTGCAATTCCTCCATCTTACTTCCCCCCTTCCCTCCCTTGAACTCTAAATTGGAGTTTGGAGAGAACTAAATATTGAATTAATAATATTTTAGATATTAAAATGATTTCAGTTAAATTGAAGAAAACTTAAGACTTTGTAACAAAGCTGTTATGTAGTTTTCCAGAAAATTAGCCATGCTCCTTGGTCCTGTAGTTAAAGGAATGAGTCCTGCCTCTGCCATTTTATGATTTTGTGTAAGTTACTCCCCTGGCTTAACCTTGGTTTCCTAATTTTTGAGGAATTTGCTTGCTTGTTTGATTTTGGTGAGGATTAAATGAAATTATGCAGTCCTTGACACCCAGAAAGCCTACAATAAATACTGGTTATTATTACAACTCGTTAGGCCTCAGTTTCCTCAAAAAGGGGAGACTAATTTAAAAACATGAAAAGAGGCCGGGCACAGTGGCTCATGCCTGTAATCCCAGCACTTTGGGAGGCCGAGGCCGGCAGATCACCTGAGGTCAAGAGTTTGACACCAGCCTGGCCAAGATGGAAAAACCCCGTCTCTACTAAAAATACAAAAAATTTAGCCAGGCATGGTGGTGGGCACTTGTAATCTTAGCTACTCGGGAGGCTGAGGCAGGAGAATCGCTTGAACCCAGGAGGAGGAGGTTGCAGTGAGCCGAGATCACGCTACTGCACTCCAGCTTGGGGTGACAGAGCCCAGCCAGGAGGCTGTTAGATTATGTTATATACAAAATCATTTTCACAATTTCTTTCTGCTACCTAAGAAAGAATTTGCCCCTAGTATATTCATCTTTAGTGAAGCATACTTGATGATTGGTCAAAGTCATTTGTGGCTAGTGTATGTATTCTGAAACTTCATTATCAAAACTGGAATTACTCTATTTCATTTGGAGTTTAATTCTATTGGTTTCAAATTTATATTTTTCCCTTTATTTTTTGTTGAATATATGAGAAAATATTTAACCTGGGCCATGTTTTCATCATCGTTGTTGGACCTGATTTATTTTTGTAGTGAATTGGGTACAACTGTCCTAAATAACCCTCTATCTTGGTCTCTCACAGGGTAAGCCTGTCTCACAAGGTAGCCACATATTTAGCAGAGTCCTGGCTACCAATATAATCCAAGTAGGTAATATAGTAGCTGAACAGCAGAAGAAAATTTCTAGATTATGAATGGAACATGTAACTCAATGTAGATAGCTGTAGATGATCAAGTATAGACTACAGGTCTAAATAGGAGGTTATTTCTACATGATATTTAATTTTACTGTCTAACCACTAAAAAGTCACTAAACATACTTTGGCAATTTCATTATTGGTGGGCTTAGTTAGACTTTTACCTTAAAAACAACAACAAAAGTATTCTCAGGTATTAGCAAAATTGGCTTATGGTAAATGATTTCTTTGAGCTAAAAATATTGGCTTTCTTTTTTTTTTCTCTTGAGACAGAATCTCGCTCTGTCACTCAGCCTGGAATACAGTGGTGTGATCTCGGCTCACTGCAACCTCCACCTCCTGGATTCAAGCAATCCTCCTGCCTCAGCCTCCCAAGTAGCTGGGATTACAGGCGCCTGCCACCATGCTTGGCTAATTTTTGTATTTTTAGTAGAGACGGGGTTTCACCATATTGGTCAGGCTGGTCTCGAACTCCTGACCTCAGGTGATCTACCCACCTTGGCCTCCCAAAGTGCTGCGATTACAGGCATGAGCCACTGCAGCCGACCCCCAAAAATACTGATCTTAAGATTAAGCACAGAGTTTTAAAATTATGTACTTCTAATTATGCCAGTCCTGGAATTTTCTTCTCCTATTTTATCACTTTATTTCAGTAAAAGAATGTCTTTCCTTTTTCAGTCTCCGCCTTCCTGATTGTGACTTAAATTGTACATTATATAGCTTTTCTAAATACAATTTAAAGTTATACAGATGAGAGGAAGTAAAGGATTTTATCTTTGTGATTGTTATATGTGGCCCTAAATAGTGTAGCCTTTTTTCCTCAATCAGAGGTTATTTTCCAGGTCATCAGTCCAACTTCTTAATAGTTAATATTCTTCAAAACTCCATGTTTGAATGGAATCGTCACTGATTGTTATTTTATGGCTGTAGTTTCATTATCTGGTTTCCTCCACTTCCAACAAAAGCTTTCAAAAATTTTCTCCCCTCTGGTCTTGAAAGTAGAAAATGGGATACCATCTGGGCTGATAATAAGCTGAGTGCTTCTGTTTAATAATGTATTCAGTGGGCTAACTTAGTCCTTTCTGAACTGACACATAGCAGAGAGGCACTTTAAATATTTTTGAGTGAATAAGTGTTCAACTTTCAAAGCAAGTTAGATTTTAGCAATCTTATGGATAAATTTATATTAATAGAATCTGTTAAAGTAAATTTTTTATTTTAGAAGAATTTGTAAATTTAGTATAGTACAGAGTTTTCATATACCCTTCACCCAGTTTCCTCTAAATTTAACATCTTATAACTGCCATACATTTATCAAAACTAAGAAACTGACATTGTATATTACTATTAAGGAAGCTATAGACATCTTTTGGATTTCACTAGTTTCACCGCTAATGTTTTTTTTCTCTTCCAGGATTCCCTCCAAGATACTATGTTACTTGTCAGTTATCCTTAGTCGCTCCAGAACTGTGACAGTTTCTCAGACTTTCCCCCTTTTTCATGTCCTCGACAGTTTTGAAGAGTTCTGGTCAGGTATTTTTGTAGACTCTCCCTCAGTTTGAATTTGTCTGATGTTTTCTCATGAAACATTCAATAATAAGTATAAGTTTTGGGTAAGATTCCCACAGAGCCGAAGTGACATTCTCATTGAGTCGTATAAAGGGATACAAGATGGAAACATGACACTGACAACCTTAATTGCTTGGTTAAGGTAGTTTCTCCCAGGTTAATGTAATCATTTCTAAAAATAAAACTATCAATGCAGCCTCCAGATGCAGCAAAGTTAGAGATTTACAAACATGAAAGACACATAGAAAGTATTAAATTTCAATGACAACTGCACAAAACTTATTCAAATAATGACTCTAGTGATATTTCCTTCCTGATTTTAAATGAATTGTTAAATGTATCACTTCTCTTAAAATATCTATGCAGTGACTGCATGGAAATGTATATTAAAATCATTTCTGCATTTCCTTTGCCATGTTAAAATAAAAGATATTCTAAAAAGCTACATAAAATACTAAATCATCTTTATAATAATTTTGAAAAATACATCAACATTTCTAAACTATGGCAAGTCACCTTCAGCTGTAATCATTTGGTAGGTATAACTATCTTCTACTTTTCCAATTACAATATTTAAAAATATTTTTGATATTGCACCAGAGCCTATATAACATATACTCTGAAATAGCATCTATGTATAGCAGTAGAATACTGAGAATTTGGTCTAGCATACTTATTTAGTTTTCTGATTCAGCTTATTTAAATTTTTCATCTTAGTGAATATACATCCCCAAACTTTGAAACATTTTTTTCTCTAGCACTTTATTTTTTCCCTAGTGGTGAATATCTTCAATTTTGTAGACAATCAAGTAAGATATTCAAAGGGGGTGAATGCAACCCAGATGCCCATCTACAGGTGAATGGATAAAGAAAGTGTAGTCTACAATGGAATATTATTCAGCCTTAAAAATGAAGGAAATCTCATCACATGCTACAACATGGATGAATCCTGAGGACTTTTGTTAAATGAAATAAGCCAGTCACAAAAAGAAAGATACTGTACAATTCCACTTACATGATGTATCTAGAGTACTCAAATGTACAGAAACAAAAAGTAGAATGATGGTTGCCAGGGGCTGGGGGAGGGGAATAGGGAGTTGTCGTTTAATGGGTACAGAGTTTTAGTTTTGCAAGATGAAAAAGTTCTGGAGCTCTGTTTCACAACAATGTGAAATATGCTTAACCTTACTGAGCTGTACACCAAAAAATGGTTAAGATGGTAATGTTTGTTCCTACCAGAATAAAAAATAATTGCCTCTATACGTTTTAAACATTTATTTATTTTGAAATAATTCAGACATGCAGAAAGTTGCAAGAATAATACAAAGAGTTCTTTGTACAGCGGTTGTTCTCTATTCCCTTCATCCAGATTCCACAACGGTTAACATTTTGCCACATTTGCTTTATTCTTCTGTGTGCATGTGATACTTTTATATAATATTTGAGAGTAGATTGAAGACATGATTCCCTCTTATTCCTAAATACTTCAGTATGTATTTCCTAAGAACAACGACATTCTCTTAAAATAACCACAGTATAATTTATTAAAACAGGAAATGAACACTAATAAAATATTATTTTCTGATCTACAGACTTTATTCAAATTTTGTTAATTGTCCCAATAATGTCCTGTATAGTGAAAATAAGATAAAATAGACAAAGAAAAAAATCCAGTCCAGAGTCCACTCCAGGATCACACATGGCCAAATCTCTTTAGTCGCCTTTAATCTGGAATGGTTCCTCAGTGGGTCCTTGATAACCTTGATATTTTTGACAAATACAGGCCAGTTATTTTGTAGAATGCCTCTCAATTGGGTGTTCTTAATGTTTCCTCAGATTAGATTGAGGTAATACATTTTTGGCAGGAATACCACAAAAGAGATGTTGTATTCTCAGTGCATGATATCAGGAGGCAGGATGTAAATTTATTCCATTATGGGTGATGTTAACTTTGATCACTAAGTTAAGATGCTGTCTACCCAGTTTCCCTGCAGTAAGGGTATTATTCCCCTCTGCATTTCCCCTCACCCCTTGTAACTGATAAGTACTTTGTGGGGAGATACTTTGAGATTATGTAGTATAGATTATATTCCATTCCTCACCAAAACTCTCACCCAGTAGTTTTTAACATCCGTTGATAATTCTTGTCCAAGTCAACCATGACGATGAGGTTTGTCGAGTGGTGACTATCACTTCATTTCTTCTAGATTTTTTGCTGGTGTTCTACTACAGTGAAGAGCTTTTCCTTCTCATTGATTTATTCGTTTATTTATTCATTTATTTACTTATCACTGTATAGACTCATGGATTCTTATGTTATTCAGTGAGCTATAATTTGTTACTGTCATTATTTTGACACTCAAATTGCACAAGATTTGGCCAGTGAGAACCCTTCAAGCTATTTCCTGTGTTCTTTTGACATGGCCCCATCCTTCTTTGAACACTTCTTTACTTTCTGGTTCAAGATGTTTCAGGATCATTTTTTATTTTCTCTTTTCCAACTCTGGAATCAGCCATTTCTCCAAGAACCCCTTGTTCCTTTTAGCGGAGAATAATTGTTGTTTTGTTTTGTTTTTGAGACAGGGTCTCTCACCCTGTTGCCCAGGCTGGACTGCAGCCATGTGAACTCGGCCCACTGCAGCCTCAACCTCCCAGGCTCAAGTGGTTCTACCACCTCAGCCCTCTGAGTGGCCGTGACAACAGGTATGTGCCACCATACCCTGCTAATTGGGAATAATGTTTAGAAACTAATATTTGAGCACTAGGAGTACTCATTGCTACAGGAGTGTCATTGCTTCTAGGCCCTTTCAGCAGAGAGCTAGGATGTGAGTGTGTGTGTGTGTGTGTGTGTGTGCACTCACACATGCAGTTTACAGGAAGGGTTCCCTGAGAACTGAATGCAGACAGAAATAAGTGAGCAGAACGTTTGTTAGGGAGCGCTCTAGGGATGAACTACTATGGAATGCAAGGGAAGGAAGCAGGATTGGGCACAGGGAGAAGATAGGCTGTGATGCGGTCTCCACAAAGACCTCAGTTGACCCCATGGGAGCTCTGATGCTGGATGTTCCTTTAGAGTTCTGAGTTGGGATGAGGGATTCAGGCCTTCATACCCCTGAGTCAATCAGTCATTGAATATGAGCCTCCCCAGGAAGGGTTCATGAAGTCGGGCAAGGTGGCTCTCTTTAGCTAAGGCAATTCCAAAAAGGGCTGGCAGCTGAGACTTGTTAGTCAACAATGTTTCCAGCATTTTTGATAATAAATCCTTCAGTCATGAAAAGACTGGGCAGCAGGGATTACTCATGACTCATCCACACACATGCTTATCTCTATCAATATCTGCCTGCCATCCATCGATCCATCCACCCATCCATCCATGAACCTATCTATCTGTCTTAAAAACCAGGAGTTTGGCCAGGCACGGTGGCTCACACCTGTAATCCCAGCACTTTGGGAGGCTGACGCAGGCGGATCACCTGAGGTCGAGAGTTCGAGACCAGCCTGACCAACATGGAGAAATCCCATCTCTACTAAAAATACAAATATTAGCTGGGCATGGTGGTGCATGCCTGTCATCCCAGCTACTTGGGAGGCTGAGGCAGGAGAATCGCTTGAACCCAGGAGGCGGAGGTTGCAGTGAGACGAGACCATGCCATTGCACTCCAGCGTGGGCAACAAGGAGTGAACCTCCGTCTCAAAATAATAATAATAATAATAATAATAATAATAATAATTACAAATAAGTATTTGTTATTTATTATATTGTGTTAATCTTATTTGAATAACATTTACATATTTGTTATTAATGTATATCTATTATTGCATCATGGGAAGTCATTTTAGCTTAGAAGATTGCAAGTCCAGTGTAGTGGAGGGCTTGAGAGAATACATGCTGGAACCAGACTGAGGATGTGAAACCTTCTCAGATGTGTGGCCCTGAGCAAATCATTTAACCTCTCTGTGCCTCAGTTTCCTCATCTACAAAATAGAAATATCAACTGTACGGTTTTACTAGACTGTTAAGCATCTCAAAGTTAACACATCTAAAATCCAAATTTCCATGCTGGGAGCAGTGGCTCATGCCTGTAATCCTAGCACTTTGGAAGGCTGAGGCGGGAAGATTGCTGGAGCCCAGTAGTTCGAGACCAGCCTGGGCAACATAAGGAGACCTTGTCTCTACAAAAAATACAAAAATTAGCCAGGTGTGGTGGTGCGTGCATGTAGTCCCAGATACTTGGGAGGCTCAGGTGGGAGGATTGCTTGAGTCCAAGTGGTGTTCGAGGCTGCAATAAACCAACATTATGCCACAGCACTCCTCCAGCAGGGTGACAGCATGAGACTCCATCTCTTAAAAAAAAAAATGAAAATCCAAAATCCAATTTCTGTCTTCCCCTTCCCCTTCAAGACTGCTGCTTCCTCAGTTTCCCCAAAGTAAACTGCAACTTCATCAAGTGCTCAGGCTCAAAGCCCTGGAATCATTATCGACTCCCCTCTTTTTCCCCCATCACATATCTAATTCACCCATGAGTCCCAGGTTATTACAATAATCCCCTGACTGTCCTTCCTATTTCTGCTTTTGCCACCCTAGAATGTATTCTCCACCAATAGCCACAGTGATACTTTTAAAAACAAATCTTTTAATGTCACTTCTCTGCTCACAGCCCTCTAATGACTTCCTGCCTCGCTCAGAATAAAAGCCAGAAAGCTGGCAATGGCCCACCTGATCCAGCCCTCTGTACTCTTGAGTCTCATATTCTATCCCTCTGGCCTGTGGCTCCCTGCCCTGCAGCCACACTGGCCTCCTTGCTGTCCCTGAACTGAACATGCTTGCAGCTCAGGGCCTGTAGCACCAGCTGTTCCCTTTGCTTAGAAAGCCTTGTTCCCAGATATTCCTACCCCTTCTCCTACTGATCTTAACTCAAAGCCTTCTATGACTCCCCTGTTTAAAGTGGCAGGCCTCAAATCCAGCATTGCCTACCTCCTTTCCGGCTTTATTTTCCTCCACAGCACTTCTCATCGTCAGGCACATTACACAATTTACTTGTCTATTTCATATGGGCTGTCTCCTTCCTCTCCTCCTCCACCCTCTCACCCCCCAGGCATGTAAAATCCATGGGGCAGGGACTTTTGTTTTGCTCACTGCTATATCCTCAGCTCCTAGAAAAGTGCTCGGTGCATAGGACACCTCAATAATTAATATGTGTCCAGGGCTCCCAAGACCACCTCCAGGTTCAGGGATTTACCAGGGGGACTCACAGGACTCAACATAGAGTCATACCCATGACTAAGATTTATTACAGCAGGAGGATGCCAGGCACAAACAGCAAAGGGAAAAGACGCATGGGGCGAAGTCCAGGGAAGTCAGACACAAGCTTCTAAGGAGGCTTTCCCACCAGAATCACACAGGACACACTTAATTCCTCCAGCAATAAGTTGTGACCTCAGGTCTGAAGTGTTGTTTACTAGGGAAGCTCAATAGAGGATTAGGACTTATGGTTTTTATTTGGGGCTGGTCACTAGGCACCGCTGCCCAGCACATACCCAAATTCCAGACGCCCAGAAGGAAAGAGATTGTTTGGCAGAAACCATATTGTTTGTACAGTTTAGGCACAGTGAGTCCTTCTTATCAGTTCTGGGAATGGTGGGAACCCTCCCCAAGTCCAAATTCCTGGACACCAGCCAAGGGCCAACCTCACAAGCAGGCCTTTCTAAAGATAGCAATCTCAGGCCTGCCATGTTAACTCTGCACAGCGTGTTAAAAAAATTTGTTACTTTTCAGTTGACAAAAATAAAGCATTTTAGAAAACAAGAGCAAGATAAGGTCAATGAAAGAAAATCTTTCATTTTTTTGCACATTGGAATCATGGTGATAAATTTTGATCTTACTTATGCACACACAAACACTGTGCATATTTTTAAAGTAGCTTGGCCTGGTAAGAAGATGTGGATGGAACCTCACACATTTCTTGGATTCTATACATTTTAGGATCTATTTCTGAAGGGAATGAGAAGAAGCAAAATCTAGATGGAACGAGTGTCTATCAGAGAGAGTGGAACCTGTGACTGCCTTTATTGTTTTTTATTTGAATATATATTTTTATTTAGAATGCAGGATTAACGGCATGATAATAAACTGTCACTCACAAGTCTGTACTGAGAAGCAAATAATCTTCAAAACATGTTGTTTTTCACGAGTAATTTACACATAGCAGTATTATTATTTAGTACTAGTGTCAAAGACGACATTTAGATTCTTCAGCTTTAGGGCATTTAGCAACATCAAAATGATTTATAGTCAGACAGAGGAAAGCAATTCTAAAGCAGTTTCTTTTTCTTCCCTGCCAGTTCCTTTGCAGTAAGATCCATCTTCTTACATGAGGAATCATTAATGGAGAGAGCTTCAACAAATTTCCAGGTCTTATTCTTGAATACGACAGAGAATGAGTAGAACGATGACTGGGAATACCATAGGAGTCACTATTAGAGATAACCCCACTGGACACAGACTCTCCCTATGGGGTTCCAAGCCAGATGTCTCTGAGGTGGTTGGAGATGGCTCTTGTAGTGGACATTGTCCTGGATGGTTTTTGAGCCTCGATGACAGCAGCACCATGTTGCTGCACAGCCATGAATTCTCCCTGGGGCCAGCTGTCATGTTTCAGAGCTTCATAAACAACTTCCTTTGCTTGCAATTTCGTCTTGGCTTGGTTGACATCTGGATACTGAGTGAAGGAATGGTTTCCCCAGATATGTAATATTCTTTACATTGTCAGCAGTCACACCAAGTTTAAGAGTAATTTGAACTTGAGTTTGGTTGTGATCCAAACAAGTCAAGCAACTGAAGTTCTCATTGAAGATGGATGGAACCAACTTGGAGGCAGTCAGGCAGTTGATATTGGCTGGGTTTCCCATAACAATAACCTTAACGAACTTCTTGTCATATTTCTCCAAGGCTGCACCCTGCCATTTGATGATTTTTACATTTTCAGTAAATCTTTCCTCTCTTGGCACAGAGCCCAAGAGAATGGCCACATCCAGGTCTTTGAAGGCAACTTCTTTGTTTGTTTGGATGACATCTGTCAGGAGGGGAAGGGCACAGTCTTGCTGTTCCATTAGGACACTGTTCAGGACAACAAGCATGGGGGTGATATCCAATGGCACAAGAATGATAGGCTAGTCTTCACCAAAGACAGATGCATTTCTAATACTGTAGAGCAGTGAATATATGATTTGACCAGCTGCCCTAGTCACAAGGATTGGTATTGATTCAGACATAACGGGGAACTGTGTGACAATTTTAGCACTTGCAAAGTGAGCCTCAGGGAGTCAGGTTACCTCTACTGCACAACTGACTTGTGACAACCTTTAGCACAATATATTTATATTTGGTTTTGGTTTTGCTTTTTGGATACCCAGTGCTCAGAAAAGTAGCTGGCACATACAAAAAGCTGCAAAAATATTTGTACAGCAGGTAAATGATACACTATAAATGCTAAAAATGATTCCATTTCATAGACACATGAGTAAATTCAAGCTATATCAAAAACAAATGTGACTTGTGGCAGATGCTGAATATAACTTGAAGATTGGTATTAGAGCTACTGTGAGAAAACAGGTTAAAATATTTTTATTGTACCATACTTAGGTATGTTGGAATGGTAAGTAAATAGTTGGCATTGCTGCTTTTGTTTGGTTAAGCTAAAACAAGAGAGGGAAAACACGCACGCACGCACGCACGCACACACGCACACACACCCCTGAAAAACATCTGGTGTTGTGTGGAATTGGGGAAGGAGAATCCCTAGTTCTCTGAATCAAGACTTGCTTAGAGCAGTCTTCTTCAATGCGAGACTGTCATCATGATATTGAGACTGTAGGGAAACTTCTCAGGACAGAAGCTCCCAGAAAACTTAAGCCAAAATCATTTTTCAAGCTATAAGACCAGTAAAAGAAAAGCTGGCTTACGGCTGGGCGTGGTGGCTCACACCTGTAATCCCAGCACTTTGGGAGGCCGAGGCAGGTGGATCACCTGAGGTAGGGAGTTCGAGACCAATCTGGCTAACATGGAGAAACCCCATGTCTACTAAAAAAAAAAATACAAAATTTTCCGCGCTTGGTGGTGCATGCCTGTAATCCCAGCTACTCAGGAGTCTGAGGCAGGAGAATTGCCTGAACCCGGGAGGTGGAGGTTGCAGTGAGCCGAGATCGTGCCATTGCACTCCATCCAGACTGGGCAACAAGAGCAAAACTCTGTCTCAAAACAAAACAAAAAAAAAAAAAAAAAAAGGAGCTGGTTTACTGAAGTCTGAAATGAGATAGGTAGAAGAGATTTAAGAAAAGTATGTAGTCTTGAATATATCTTGTGGTTTTAGAACTGTTTCCCATTAAAGCTTTTTTAAAATAAATATGTTTTGCCTTATATTTTTAAAGCATTATTGAGGTGGAATACGGTACTTTAACTTGTGATGATAATTAGCATGGCCTTTGTATATACATATATATTTGCATATGTGCATAAACATACACACGTACACTTTTACTCCCATTACTGATTAAAAATGGTTACTTTCTACTAGCTTAGGTAAAATACAAAATTTATTTGTAAATTGTGGAGAGATTAAAACAACCCACTTTAGAGGGGTGACATTAACCCATTCTCATGCAGGCAAACTCCACTCTGCTTCATACTTGTGGCCTCGTGGCTGACACAATCTTTAACAACATTTTAATGTTCAAGAGTAAAAGTAAGAAGAAGAAACAGTCTTGTGAAAGACAACAGTAATGTGATGAAACACTTAAGAGTTCTACATTTCCGCGTTAAGTCACTATCCCTCTAAAATATTACTGTGGAACTTCTCCTAGGCAAATATTGACTCAACACATAAAGGGGCCTCAAGCATGTTTCTAGATATAGGATTTGAAAATGAATGCTAAACGATTTTTCTGGGCTATAGTACAATGAGATATTCCTAGAGTTTTAGAGATGAGTCAGTTCTTAAGAGACCCAGATGTAATTTTTCACTGTACAGACTGAGAAAGTAGGCCCAGAGATTTTAAGACATTTGCCTAAGATCATATGACAAGTTCTGGGCCAGTGGAAGAACCCATATCTGCTACTCCTGGAATTCTCTCCAGGTTATCCTACCGCTTCCTTCAGTCTCCAGAGAAGGGATTCAGGCATTAAGCACCCACTATATATATATAGATATATTATATATATAGATATATATATATATAAAATTCATATAATTTATCTATATATATAAATATATAAAAATACAGCAGGCATGTCCAGCCTTTTTGCTTCCCTGGTCCACACTGGAAGAAGAATTGTCTTGGGCCACACATAAAACAGCAACACTAACAATAGCTGATGAGCTAAAAAAAAGAATTGCAAAAAACATCCATAATGTTTTAAGAAGGTTTACGAATTTGTGTTTGGCCACATTCAAAACCATCCTTAGCAGCATGTGGCCTGTGGGTCGTGGGTTGGACAAGCTTGATATTCAATAATCTAGAAGCTTCTGAATTAATACAGGTTTGATCAGGAAGTGATTTTATGCCTCTCAGGCTGAAGTGGGCGAGGCTTGGCTGTATGATGCCATTTTTAGGTTGTACTCAAGAATGAACAGCTGGGGAAAGTATACCCTCATTTGGTTTTGCCATGAAACCCAGGAATCTTGGAATGTCCATCGAAACTCTGGAAACTTTGGATATTAACTCTATGAGAATCCTAGCACTTTGGGGGTCTGTCTTTTTTCTCAAATAATGCTGCTTTGTAACAAGCCTGCCTTCCTTTGGTTTGCAGACTACCCTGAGCCAGCTGGTGAGCCTAAAATATCACGCTGGCCCATCCAACTCGAATTTAGGGCAGCAGTTTGAATTTAGTTGCAAGTAATACATTAAAACCTGAAGAATGTTTTTGGTGTGTAGCTATATATTTTGAAAAAACTAGGGGATTGCTCGTGCTTGGGGATTCTCAATGACACGTGACTCCAAAAATAGAACATGGTGGCCATCTCTCCAGGGCTGACTGAGGTGACAACATAGTCGCCCAGCTGGAGTTGCTGCTGAGAGGTACCCGCCCAGATTTGTGGTAGTGCAGCTTGTCCCCTAGATCTGCCTGCAGGCTTTGTGGATATGCCCCCAACCTCTCGCATGCTCAGTACTCCCCCGGGAGCAGTGAAACACAGAACCTCTAGTCATTTTTTGCTAGCAATCTAATGGAAAGTGGCATTTAAGTTTACTGTGTTTCACTCGTACCTCATGATTACAAGCCCACTCTGAGCATAACCTTAGCAGCATAGCAGAAGGTATACCTACTCCTGGCTCTACCCCCAAAATGAGAAAATCTGTCTTTAATTAGACAGGTACAGTCTAAGTGGTTCATAAATAAACCTCTGGCATCATATTGGGATCAACACCCTGTTCCTGCCCTCACTCCTCCTACCTCCACCAAATCAGGCTGGTACTTTTCCAACAAATGATTGCCATCACACAATACTTCATTAACCCGATGTTCTTAACCTGAGGAAGCAGTAAGACAGAAATTAGCATGAAGGGTCTTGTTTCTTTAGGGAGCATGATACCTAATCAGTTTTCAGGACACAATAAGAGTGTGTTCTTACTGGGTTTTCTTACCAGGACTCAAAGAAGTCAACAAAATTCTATCATTGTTGCTGCCCCCCCACCCCACCATCCCCCCTTGCCACCCTGCATAACTAAATATTCTAATTAATTTAAGGAAATTAATGTCTACAGACGCTAGAATTAACAGTGGCCAGAATGAAGGGGAAAATCTCTTGTTAGCTCCTATTGTGTCAATCACTGTTTTTAATTTAGCAGTAATAAAACTCAGCCCCAGTTGGAGAACCGTGACCCTCACCATCTGGTATGGTAATTCACAAAACCTCTAGCTGGGACACTCCCAGCATCCAGGGGTTGAAATAGGATCGTGCTGGGATCAGATCCCTTGGCCCACGCTCCAGAGACCCAGGGCCAAAAGCAAAGGAAAACACCGAACATCAGAATGATGCCATCCCCGGGGTAGCAAGTAGTTTATCATGCGCTTTCCCAGACATCTGGCAGAGCATCTGTGGGGTGGAGGTCAGCGGAATCATGGACCATCAAGTCTGTAATTTTCCATTTACAAAACAGAAAAGAAAAATGGAAATGACCATGCAGTATGCTTCTGTGATCTGGATACTTTTACCACAAGTACTATTTGGCATTTTATGGCTGCCAAAGAAAGATAATCTGCCACCCATTCAGTCCCACAGTGGAAAGCATTCTCTTGGTGAATAAAATAAATGGAAAGAATTCATCCTTATATATCACATGTTAGGTTGAAGTCAATGATGAATTAACATAGCTAAAACTCACCTTAGAAGGCTTCCCCCTCATTAGCTACCACTTAACTATCTATCTATATGTATTTGTTACAACAAATATATATGTTTTGGTAAACTTCTCAGTGCCTAGGTTTTATTTATTTATTTATTTAGAGATGGAGTCTTGCTCTGTCACCCAGGCTGAAGTGCAGTGGCACCATCTCGGCTCACTGCAACCTCCACCTCCCGGGTTCAAGTGATTCTCCTGCCTCAGCCTCCTGTGTAGCTGAGATTACAGGCACACACCACCACGCCCTGCTAATTTTTGTATTTTTAGTAGAGACGGGGTTTCTCCACGTTGGCCAGGCTGGTCTCGAACCCCTGACCTCAAGTGATCCACCTGACTTGGCCTCCCAAAGTGCTGAGATTATAGGCGTGAGCCACCATGCGTGGTTGTGCCTAGATTTTAAATGTTTATTTAAAGATCTTTATACTTTCTCTACATGCTAAATTTTAGTCAATTCCACCTTAGGATAAAGCTGTAAATTTCAGATATATCAGACCAAACAAGGAAACAACTCAGTTTAAAGACAACAGTTCCAGTCTTTTACTTTCAAATAATACTTTTTAAAGGGGAAATATTTTGTGCTTCTAGATGTTTTATTATTTGTTCTTATAAAAATCATAGTTTCATTTTCTTATAAGTTTTATCATACAAAAACAATAACAGCAACAATAGACTAGCTTTCTGTATAACTAAAATAACATGGATTTCGTATTCTTCCTTTGGGCATTTCATATTGGCATAAAAATAGAATATATCTAACAATCTAAAGTAAGTTATAATTGCTATATTTTTCACTGATATAATTTCTTTTTGCTTGGAATCCATGTTGGTACCTGCCTTTTAAGATAATAGCCTTATTACTATTATCTTAAACATCTCTGAGTGGTAGAGAAAACTAAGTAAGACACTTCTTTGAATAAGCTAAGTACAGCAACATCCAAACTCAACTTTTAACTCTTATTGTTGTAGTTAACAAGTCTCAACAAAACCTTTGGCTCTCTTGTTCCCCCATGCTATATCTAGGGCAAGCAAGACCTTTAACCTACCAGACTTTACACACCTGTTGGTCTTTTGTTGGTCTTTGAGTCTGACCTTTGAAGCGAGCTTGACCTGCAGCTGTGCTGCCTGGCAGCTTAAATCCTCTGCAGGCTGACTTCATTCTTGTGCTTTACATCAGATGTTGTCTAACTGGGTTCAACGATTAGAGAAAGTGCATTGTTTATGTCTTCATTTGGTCCGAATGTTTTTGTGTGAATGTGGCCCCTCTTGAGGGCTCTGAACAATTTAAAAGAGCCCAGTAAGATACGAATGGGAAATATAAGTGCATTGCTGTTTCCAGAAAAACCTGTGCTTTATCACCTTTTATTCTCACCTCATAATTACAAAGAAAGGCTGAATAAACCAGTAATAGTTCAACAAGTCACTAATGCAGACACCATGGCCTACTTCCCTTTGATTATCTGTAAGAAAACATCATGTTAACAACAATGCAAATGGGTATCTAAGATGAATTTGGGAAGGTGAGCCCCTTATTTTCATATCTTTTAAGACAACTTGTCAGGGAGGATAATTGCCACAGGCTTTGGGGTCATTGCTGATTTGGACAAAATTTAAACAGCTGCTGCAGGCACCTGTTCTCTATCCCAGGCCCTCACAATTGCTTGCAATGTGCTCACAATTCAGAATCAAAAAACTTTACTAAAGCAATTTGATTACTTTTAAATGATGTTTTATTCATGCATGCAAATAATTTTATGTTTCATGTCATGTATGTCTTTCTTTCCACATAGGTGAGTCTAACGACCTAAAAGAAAATATAGGAATTGAATTGTGGCAATGTGTGCTAACCTTGGAGTGTTGATGACCACCACCAACTCTTACCCATTCTGATCTCAAGCCAGATTATTAATGCGGATAGTTAGACAGGTTTCAAGAAAGATCACGTATTATTGAGTTCTAGAACTTCCTGCTAGCTGCATGAGGCAGTGTTGGAAGTAGAGAGTATATTTCTTGGAGAAAAATTTCTACGTCCCTGCCACTATCCCTCAGTGCAGGAGGTGAGACGGAGCACAAAGGGAAGAAGATATGGAGACAGCCGTGGACAACACTAGGTTCCTCTCTGAAACTTGTCAAGGGAAAAAGAGGGAAATGAGCTTTCATCCAAGATGCTTCCAGGCACTGCTCTGATTTCAACGGGGAAGTGGCCCAAGTGATGCTTAGTGCAGGTTAACTGACCTTAGATTCTCTCTGGGAAATGCTTTCTTGTCCCTGCTACACCTTTGCCAAGGCAATGGGTGAAAGGGATTCCAGGGCACTGTGGAAGTCAAACACCACAAAGAGAAAGAATGGCTGCTTCTTTGCTGTCCTTTGTGTTATGGTTTGAATGATGGTCCCCAAAGATATGTTGAAGTACTAACTCCCAGACCCATGAGTGTGACCTTATTTGGAAAGTCTTTGCAGATGTAATCAGGTTAAGATGAATTCATGTATTAGTCCATTCTCACGCTGCTAACAAAGGCATACCTGAGACTGGGTAATTTATAAAGGAAAGAGGTTTAATTGACTCACAGTTCTGCATGGCTGGGGAAGCCTTAGGAAACTTACAATCACTGCAGAAGGGGAAACAAACATGTCCCTCTTCACATGACAGCAGCAAGGAGAAGTGCAGAGCGAAGTAGGGGAAAGCCCCAAATACAACCATTAGATCTCATGAGAACTCACACACTATCATGAATACAGCATGGAGGTAACTGCCCCCATGATTCAATCACCTCCCACTGGGCCTCTGCCACAACATATGGGGATTATGGGAACTACAGCTCAACATGAGATTTGGGTGGGGACACAGCCAAACCATATCAATTCACAACAGATTAGAATGTGAGATTGAATTCAATGACAGATGTTCTTAAAAGAAGAGAAAGCAGACACAGTCATGCACAAGGAAGAAGACCATGTGAAGACAGCTGCAGAGATTGGGGTGATGCAGCCACATACCTACCAAGGAATGCCATGGACTGCCAGCAACCCCCAGAAGGTGGGTGAGAAGGAAGCAGATTCTCCCTCACAATCTCTAATATGAACCAACCCTGCCAACAGCTTCATTTCCGACTTCTTGCCCCCAGGACTGTGAGAGACTGTTTCTGTTGTTTTAAGCCACCCAGTTTGTAGTGCTTTGCTATTGCATCCCCAGCAAATGGATTCACCCTGCCATGCAGCAAGGCAGTAACCATGCTCTGCTTCCTCCCTGTCATTCCCAGAATAGAGGCTGGGAGACAGTGGACAATGGTAGATCCCTGTGATGCTTACTGATTGAAGAGTGGAGTTTGGCCTCTAAAGTCTCTCTCTGATGGGCACAAACCACCACCACAATAGTAGACCCACCATTCATTGAGTGTGTGCTACATGCCTGGCTCTGGTGTCACATGTGACTGAAGATAACAACCCTGTGGGGTTGCCCAAATCTCACAGAAGAGGAAGCCCAGGCTCAGATTCAGTCACTTGCCCAGGTCACAGAGCTCGAAGATGGAGAAGCTCAGCTAGGGATTCCAACTCCACACCGCCACAACAGACTACTGTCTTCTTCTTCTTCTTCTTCTTCTTCTTCTTCTTCTTCTTCTTCTTCTTCCTCTTCCTCTTCCTCCTCTTCCTCCTCTTCCTCTTCCTCCTCTTCCTCCTCTTCCTCCTCTTCCTCCTCTTCCTCCTCTTCCTCTTCCTCTTCTTCTTCTTCTTTTCTTCTTCTTCTTCTTCTTCTTCTTCCTCCTCTTCTTCCTCTTCTTCCTCTTCTTTTCTTCTTCCTCTTCTTCCTCTTCTTCTTCTTCTTCTTCTTCTTCTTCCTCCTTCTTCTTCTTCTTCTTCTCTTCTTCTTCTTCTTCCTTCTTCTTCTCTTCTTCTTCTTCTTCTTCTTCTTCTTCTTCTTCTTCTTCTTCTTCTTCTTCTTCTTCTTCTTCTTCCTTCTTCTTCTTCTTCTTCTTCTTCTTTTTTTGAGACAGGGTCTGGCTCTCTCACCCAGGCTGGAGTGCAGTGGCACAATCTTGGTTCACTGCAACCTCTGCCTCCCGGGCTTAAGCCATCCTCCCACATTAGCCTCCTGAGTTGCTGGGATTTCAGGCATGCACCACCATGCCTGGCTAATTGTTTTGTTTTTTTTTGTAGAGATGGGGTTTCACTTTTTTGCCGAGGCTGGTCTCGAACTCCTGAGCTCAAGTGATGCACCCACCTCGGCCTCCCAAAATGCTGGGATTACAGGCATGAACCACTGTGCCAGGCCCAAGACTACTGTCTTCTTAGCAATTGTATTAAAATATTTGATGCCTTGTCACATAGTGGCACAAGGAGGTGTTTTCTGAAGAGGGTGGCAACCTTTTCCTTAAGTGTATGGAATTTAACCCAATGATCCTTAAAAATGTTTGCCTCAATTCCATTTTTTAGGGAAATGCAGAGAAAGTGGAAAGGTAGTAAACTAGTAGTTGAATTGGGGAAAGCAATAAAGAGGACTCAGAGAGTGGTGGTGATATTTTTACATTTCTTTATTTGGGTGACATTTTAAATCATACTCATTACATTTTCTGTGAAATGTGAATGATTTAGCTGTAGTACTTAAAACTAATGAACCAAGAGGCTATTTAGTCAGTGAATAAGTGGGGAACAAATAAGTCTAAATCCACATTGAACGTTTTAGAGGCTCAGCCTTTGCTGTAAATGATCTTGTTTCTCTCTCCAAGCCCCTAGTCTGTCTTGTAAAAACAATCAACTTGACCTACCCCAAAAGGTATGCTTTTGACTCGCAAGACTGCCAAATGAAGCCAAGATAAAAGCCGTATGTAGAGATATGAAGATTGTAAATATTTGGGCTTAAAGGGCATCTATTCCTGCACAGTGTGAACCAGTCATTCACAATATGCCAGCCTCAAGCATATATTTTGAAATCAAAGGTAATAAACAACCTCTGAGTGTCCATGCATATGCATGTGGCACCCCTTGCATATTTAATTAACCGTGCACATATGCCTTGCGCAGAAGCCATAGATGTGCCTCCGCTGGTATCTGAACTGTCCCTAATCCAAACAAAGCTGTGAGATAGGTTGAAGCTCAGGACTGTGGGGAAGCCTTGAGCTCCTCTGAGGAGTCTGTCTTTGGCTTCACCACACCCCAAGCTGAGCATATTTTCTGGAAGGCATTATGTGGTTTGTTAGCAGCATCATTATGAGTATCATCTAGAATATTCACGTGTCAGAGTCTGTGGACTGTCTCCCAACCTCCCAGTTCACTTCCTCTTCGTCCTGGGTATAATACTGGACTACCTTTCCCAGTCTCCTTTGCAATTAGGTGTGGCCATGCAACTGAGTTCTAACCCACGGAGTGTGAGTGGAAGTGGTATGAGCCATTCTGGGCCACAGTTTTTAAGAAGTGGATGTTTCTCCTCCATGTTGTTTTCTTTCTTGGCAGATGGATCTAGTCCGAGAGAAGGCCCTAGAGGATGGTGGACCAGAATGTGCAAGGAGCCTGGGTCTCTGAGTCACCATGTGGAGGAGAACCACTTATCAACCAGGTGCAGACAGTTAAGTGAACAGTGAGCGAGGAACAGACTTCCCTTGTGTTAAGCCATTGAGATTTGGGGACGATTTTAAGTGGATTTTTTAATCACAATCTAGCTACTCAAAGTGTAGTTCATGAATTGGTGCTGATTCATGAACAATTTATTACTAGTCCACAACAAGAGAAGCATAGTAATTTGAGAGTAAGCATTAAGAAGCTTTTATAATAATTTGATACTACCATTATACCTAAGTATCATGAGTGGATTCATCTTGTTGAGCAGGGTATAACCGGGTTGGGTACTGATGAACTCCTGTAGTGAGTTGCATATGGCACAAGTGACATACACATGGGCAGTGACTGTGATCAGAAATTGAAAGTAAAAGCTCCCTACAACTGTGAGAGAAGCACTAGTCTGGCCTACTATAATGAATATAAGCCAGCAACTGAGACTGCTACAGGTACCCCAACTTTCTGCCTTTACCTATGTTACCATCCATTTGCTGCTAGAAACCGCTGATGCTACCCCCAAATATTTACTGAATACATATTCTCCCCATCCCCACTGCCCCAGCCTTAGCTTGGGCCCCACCCTCTCTCACAGGGATTATTGCTGATTAACTCTCTGCTGCTTCTCCTTCTCATCCAACCCCAAGATTGTCACCAGACTGATCCCTCTAAATGAAAATCTGACCGGAGCACACCCTACTTGAAACCCTTCCACAGCTTCCATTGCTTCAAAAATAACTTTGACTTCCATCTGGATATTATCTGAAATTCTAGCCTCATCTATTACTGCTTTCTGCCTTGCAAACTGTGCTCCAGTGACAGTTGAAATTTCATAAATGTGCCGTGCTGAATCATGTCTCTGTGCACTTGGGCTTGCTCTTGTCTCTGCCTAGAATCATCCTTCCTTCCCTCTAAAACCCAATGAAAAACATCTTCATTCTTTAATACCAGCTGAAGTTCCCAGAGATCTCCTTTGAGTAACTTCTCCCAAGTAGAATTAAGCCATCTTTTCTCTGTACTTCTCTTACATCTCCTTCCGTTATTTTGCTTGTCATATAGTACTTATTTTAATTTTTCCTTATCTCACCCCACAAAGCTTTATTTATATGGCACTGGGCATGGGGTCTGGCCCAACAAAACGTAATCTTTCAGTGTTGAATAAATGAATGATTGAATGAGTAAATGCAGGCAATAATGAACAACTTAACTCATCAACTGGCTTTGCTCTTGCCCTTACTCTTGCCATTTAAGCAAGCAAGGGTCTGTCTCATATTAACTTTCTTCTAATTTGTAATGTAAATGGAACAACACAGGTATCTTGTTAACATAAGAGACTTGAAAAAAGAACGGTAGCTGGAATCAGCAGCTCTTCATAAAACTTTTGTTCATACTTCCATGCTTTGGATTTATGAAGGCGTTAAGTAAGATTTTTAAATCTTCTGAAGATCTATGTTAGCACACACTCCTGCTATTAGCAAATTTCTTTCTAATATGGCTTTTGCCATTCCCTAAAAAAAAAAAAAAATCTACAATCAGGAAGAAATGAGTTGGACATCCACCAGCCTGGTGACAGCTCCCTCTGAATTCGTAACATACCATTTTTCACAAGTGTTCTATTTTGAGTACAACCTAAGCCCGCCTCCTCACCACCTTTCTAGAAATTGTTTTGCAGTCTACAAAGAAAAGAATCCTTGGACTCAAAAGTTAATAAACATACAATACAAACTCTAGTACACATTTTGAGACCAGATTCAAACATACTTTTTTTTTTTTTTTTTTGAGATGGAGTCTTGCTCTATCGTCCAAGCTGGAATGCAGTTGTGTCATCTTGGCTCACTGTAACCTCCGCCTCCTGAGTTCAAGAGATTCTTGTGCCTCAGCCTCCCAAGTAGCTGGGACTACAGGTGTGCACCCCCATGCCTGTCTAATTTTTGTATTTTTAGTAGAGATGGAGTTTCACCATGTTGGCCAGGCTGGTCTCGAACTCCTGACCTCAAGTGATCCACCCACCTCAGTTCCCAAAGTGCTGGGATTACAGGTGTGAGCCACTGCGCCGGTCTCAAATGTACATTTTGAAATCAAAGGTAATAAACAAAATGAGGTGCGTGTCTGAAAAGAGATTCAGATATACATTTTAGAAGAAAGACAGTCATGGTATTTGTTGAATAAAGGGCCTATGCCCTTGAGGGAGTAAAATATCAGAAATATTTTTGTTAACTGTTTTAAATATTTATAATATATGATATGTGTTATCAAGTTATTTTGATTACAGAGGGGCTGGTTTCCCTCATCATCGCCCTGACCCTCGGATATACAAATGCACATACTTAGTGTAGTCATCAGGCATGATTATACCTTGCCAAGGATTTTCATTATTTACCATCAATTTAAGAGACACCTAAGCGGGGTGGACAAGGAGAGAAGAGGGGAAGGAGGGCCTTCCTCATAGGAAGCAGCAAACTACAGCTGTAAGCAAAGGAAAGACTATCGAACACTGCAATGGGAACCAGTCTGGTGGTTTTCAAGTTCCTGCCAATACTCCTGATGCTGTCCGCCCAGTTCTTCCATACTTTGTTGTGGTCTTGATTCAGTCACTTGTGCATGCCACTTGCTCTCTTAGGCTGACGCTGCCAGCAGGCTTTGGAAACTATGGTTCACTCCAGACTTTCTGAGGTCTTAAACGGTATCCAAAATTTGCAGAAGAGTCAGCCCCTTCTTGTTTTTGTTTTTAAGGGTACAATGAAAAAACGTTTTAATAGTTATTTTTCACTCATTCCAACGTCAATATCTGAAGTGCAGAACATTATAAATCCAGTTGATATTGACCTCACAGATGAAAGCAAAACGTTCTAAGTACATACACTATATTTTTAGTAGTTTGTCAACCTTTTAATGGAAGCATATGTGTCAGTTTATCTTCCCGACTTGAGAGTAAAAGCCTGTTTATACCAAGGGCTGGATTATTTGGGTTTCTTTTTTTGAACATTTTAGAATACCAGCCTCATTATATTTTGATGGCAGCTTTGATGTGCTGTGGCTTGGTATCTGAAGGTCTTTGGAAGTAGTACAGGGCCAAATTACACTGAGACGCATCTTTCTCTGAGGATGGTCAAGAGAGTTTCATAGGGCACAGTCCACTGGGACCAAGGTGGTTTTTCTGGAGAATCCATGCAGCCACTCACTTGGCTGATACAGATATGTTTATGAAAGTCCAGTTTTGGTCTGGCAGCCCACACTTTTGCCAAGAAGGGACTTGGAATAGAAGTGATTGATGATGACAGCAACCTCTGCTCTAGGTGATGGAAGAAGACAGCTGGAAAGAGTTGAAACCTCCTTGAATTTTTTTCAAATTTTGGAATATTTGTATGATATATAATTAGATATCTTGGGGTTGGGACCCAAATCTAAACACAAAATTTATTTATGTTTCATACACACCTCATACACATAGCCTGAAGGTAGTTTTATATAACATCATTCATGATTTTGCATATGAAAGAAGCTTGTGTTTTGACTGCAACCTGTCCCAGGAGGTCAGGTGTGGAATTTCCCACTTGTGGTGTCATGTCATTGCTCACAAATCTTCAGATTTTGGAGCATTTTGGATTTCAGATTTTTGGATTAGGGATGTTCAACCTATAATGGCCTGTTTTTCTTACAATCGACTAATAGAGATTTAGGTGGGACGATGCCTGGAGTCTCTTCTGTGACTCCAAGGTGGGTGTTTAACATATTAACAGTTGTTTTATCAATGGCTCCTTAAATTCAAGAGAGGAATGGTCACCTGCCCTATCACCAAGATTCAAGTTGAACACACGACCTGGTCTTCTGTCTACCACCAGGAGCCTGCAGCTCCTGCTCAAGTTGGTAAGTCCCTGAGACATATACCTCTCATCTTCTAACTCTACACTTTTGAACTTGATGGGATTCTAAGAAATGTCATTTTAAAGATCTTTTGGGGCTGGGCGCGGTGGCTCACACCTGTAATCCCAGCACTTTGGGAGGCTGAGGCAGGTGGATCGCCTTAGGTCAGGAGTTCGAGACCAGCCTGGCCAACGTGGTGAAACTGTCTCTACTAAAAATACAAAAAAAAAAAAAACTTAGCTGGGTGTGGTAATGGACACCTGTAATCCCAGCTACTCGGGAAGCTAAGGCAGGAGAATTGCTTGAACCTGGGAATTGGAGGTTGCAGTGAGCCAAGATCATGCCACTGCACTCCAGCCTGGGCAACAAGAGCAAAACTTCATCTCAAAAAAAATAAATAAATAACTTTGGGGGGTAATTCAAGAATTTTTCTTAAAGTAAACCATATCTCTGTCTTTTAACTCTCTCTCTTTTTTTTTTTTTTTTTTTGAGACAGAGTCTTGCTCTGTCACCCAGGCTGGAGTGCAATGGCGTGGTCTCGGCTCACTGCAACCTCCGCCTCCTGGGTTCAAGCAATTCTCCTGCCTCAGCCTCCTGAGTAGCTGGGATTACAGGCATGCACCACCATGCCTGGCTAACTTTTGTTTTTTTAGTAGAGATGGGGTTTCACCATGTTGGTCAGGCTGGTCTCAAACTTCTGACCTCAGGTGATCCACCCACCTCGGCCTCCCAGAGTGCTGGGATTACAGGTGTGAGCCACTGCACCTGGCCCTTAACTCTCTATCTTTTTATATTCAGAGCTCCACATCTTTCAGTAATATACAATACTGCTCATTCCGCATCAGGGCTCACTTCCCTTCCTTCTCCTTCGAGGTTTTAGGGTTATCTTTGAGTCATCTGTGGTCAGCTGAGAAGAAATGAACAATTTATTCTATTTTGAAAGAGCAACATACGTTGAAATTCTGAACCCCACAACTGACATTTTGCAGCTTGTTCTCCCAATCCTAAGCTCAGAAACAGCTTCCCATCGAGCTCATACAGACCTTTTCTCCTACTGTAAGAGGGCAGGAGTAGGGGTGGGGGTGTTGGTAAATAGTGACTCTTCTCACCGAGGTGCCAGGCACTATCATTTATTAATAGCTATGTGGTGAAAAAGCATGACTTAAAAGCTAGGTGAACAAGAACAAAAATTTCTCTGCTCAATCAAAGAGTGTGTTACTGTACAGCCACTGTAGCTGCAAATAGTCCCTAATTCATAAAATGATTGTGTTTTAGAAAACTCAACATATATACATGTGTCAGTACATTGGTGTGTCTGGGGCTAACAGTGGCTTTCTCTCATGAAAAAGGATGAAAGGGAACATATGGAAGCTTACTGAATCCATAATAATATTAGCTAGCAATAGTTAACCCTTATTAATCTCTTACTCCCTGCAAGGTACAACAACTATTATTATTAGCTATTATTATCACTCCTATATTGCAGAGATAAAACCAGGGTTCAAGGGGTTAGGCAAGTCAAGGTCACAGAGCCAGTAAGTGGTAGAGACTTAAATCTGGTAGGCCCTTTGCCATTCTTCTCTACTTACTGCTGGCATAAAATGGTGAACAGGACAAGGAACACTGGCCTGAAACTGGCCTCAAACCTTGGTTTCCTGCAGGAGGGAGACTGACCGCTTTGGAAAAACAAAGCAAGAGAGGAAGTGATTTTTATTTCCTGCCGTTATGTGTACAGTAGGCATTCAGCAAGTATCTGAAGAAGTCAACTCCAGTTTTGTGCCTCTTCCTCTCTCCCAGGCAATCTCTAGCGTCAGCAAACCTAGATGACTTCTAGTCCCTGCCACAAGCAGCTCAACCACCCCAATCACCAGGCTGCCTGCCTCACCATCAAGTCCCGCTCCTAATCCTATGGAAATAACCAGGCCATTAATTCACTCAGTTCATATTTACTATACTACACGTCTACTATGTGCGTTGTTAATTCCTGGGAATGCAGCAGTAAACAAGAGACCTTGTTTCTACCCTCACTAAGCAAGAAAACAAAGATATACATAGGAATTACCATCTGTATTTTGTTCAAGAAGAGAAAGCAAACCTGGATGTTCAATAAAAAGATTAAAATTTAAGATCAGCTAAACGATGAGAGATTCATATTACAGAATATAATGCACCCATTGAAATGATTATATGGGTTGTACAGAAAAACTTACTGCCATGGAAATACATCCACATTCTATGAACTGAAAACAGTTAATACAAATAATGTATTTGGGGTAAAAATATAACAAGACATAGATAAGCACTAACAACAACAACAACAACAACAAAATAAACTAAAAGGGGTCTCACCATGCTGCCCAGGCTGGTCTTGAACTCCTGGCTTCAAGCAATCCTCTTGCTTTGGTCTCCCAAAGTGCTGGGATTACAGGCATGAACCACCATGCCCGGCTGAATTTTTTCCTTACATGGCTTTGCCTTACTTGAGATGAAAACTTTATGGGGTCATTCTACCGATAAGTCCCTTGAGTTAGCAGCACCATTTCACTGATAGGTTTACACTTACCAATTTTTCTTTCTTTCATTAGTATAACAAGCAGGTCAATAATTTCAATGTAATTAAATAACAATATTCAACAGGAATATTAGTTTGAGTGACATGTGATAACAACATTCAACAGGAATATTAGTTTGAGTGACGTGTAATGTTTTAGGTCACCAACAGTTATTAATGACAATTTCTTTTTCTTCTTTTTCTTTTAGGCTTTAGGATTCAAATAAGAAAGTCTACCTTTGCCAGAAAGCAGGGACGATGCATCCTTCTTCAAGGCCAGCCCCAAGCAGACTCTTTAGACCTGAGGTCAAACTGTAAAATGAACAATTATCTTTCCTGCTAGACAGGCTCCCCCTGAAGTCCTGCCCTACCCTAATCTCTGAGCATCTCACCTGCCCTGGACACACTGCTTTGGTAGAAGGAGCACCTCATTGTTATCAACACCCACCAGACAGCACTGCAATCTAGTTTTCCATTCATTTCAGCCTACTCTCCATATCTGTCCCATTGAGGTAGACTTATTTCTGTTCTAATGAAATTGATTCAGAAATGAATTTTTAAAATCCTGGGGGGATTAATAACTTATTTCTCTTGAACAAAGTTTTAATCTCAGTTTTTATTTATCTGTGTAAAACAAATAATTGCAATACAGATCTGTAGAACTGCTTCTGTGTGCTCCAAATATCTGGCCAGAGTTTGTCTAGTCCCTGTTAAGTTGCCAAGGAGGGAAGTCTTCCCAAGCAGGTAGGCATAGAAGCCAGCTGAAATGGCTGAGGAATGCTCTACTAAATCCATGCAGGGCCCTTTGTGCCAGGCCCTTTGTCACTCATCTGGTGTCCATCTCAGCCTCACACCTGCCTGTGGCATCTCCAAAGTCTCTGATGGGACTTTGGGTGCCTCCTTGCCGGGTCAGTCAGAGTGATCATGTTGCCTGCTCATGACATTGCCTCCAGGTTCTCAAACAACCTAGGATCCCAGTTAGTGAGCCAGCACATCCAGGATTGGCCTCTCCCAATTCCCAACATCCCAGGATCCAATATAGTTAGATAGTTATTACACCTTTATGATGTTATTTTCACTTGAGTTATCTTGAACATTGGCTTGCTCATGAGTTATTTCGCAAATGCAGAATGAACCTCAGTGTACATATCAATGTGCATGATAGGAAAGCAATACAGTATAGTTCAGAAACAACCACCATACAAAGATACTAGCATCAAGCTGTCTTCTTCTCTGATTATATAGTGATTGAATAGCTCCTAAGATCAATAGACCCAATTTGTCTCATAAAAATTACACACACACACACACACACACACACACACACACACACACACATCCTATCTGGTTTTACTTGTTTGTCTAGTTTGGGGAAGAATTTTTAATAAAGGAAAACTTTATTCTAACAGTCCACATTTGCCCATATAAGTTTCTATTTCTTATTTGGGAAAAATTGCCATTTCCAAAAATAAGTACAAAGGAGACTGATATAGATTTCCAAATACCTCCATGAATATCTTATATTCCATGTAAGGTAATTTTGAGCTCTTCCCCAGCAACAAGTTATTATGTATAAGAAGAAGACACACTGTTTATAATGTATTTTCCACCAAAGAGCTGAAAGCAGTTTACAGACATGACCTCATTTGGCTTTATAACAGTCTAAAAGACTGAAACAGACTGTATTTTTTTGATATGTTTGGGTAACAGATATTGAAGTCATCAAATTGACACCCCCACACCAAATCACTATATTACATACTATATTGGAAACAAGAATCTCTGTATGACTCCAAACTTCTGAGTTTATGTTAGCTAGCCAAGATTGCAAGTGGCTGAACATCAAACTATAGCAACAGCCAACTTAAATTACAACACACCAGTGTAAATAAAGAGGCCATGAGTAATATGCTTTGTACAGTAGCAGACACTTATACTCAGTTCGAGAGTATCACTACATTCTGCTGCATTCAAGGATAGTGATCTCATTTGGATGTCCCCTCAAAATCTCATGTTGAATTGTAATCCCCAGTGTTGGAGGTGGGGCCTGGTGGGAGGTGTTTGGGTCATCAGGGTGGATCTTCATGGCTTGGTGCTGTTCTCTTGATAGTGAGTGAATCCTTACGAGATCTGGTTGTTGTAGAGTGTGGCACCTCCTACCACTGGCTCTCTTCTCCTTGCTCTTGCTTTAGCCACGTGAAGTCCCTGCTCCCCTTTACCTTCCACCATGATTTTAAGCTTCCTGAGGCCTCTGTAGAAGCGGATGCTGGCGCCACGCTTCTGGTACACCCTGCAGACTTGTGAGCCAATCAAACCTCTTTTTTTTTTCTCTTGAAACGGAGTTTCGCTCTTGTTGCCCAGGCTGGAGTGCAATGGCGTGATCCCTGCTCACCGCAACCTCCACCTCCTGGGTTCAAACGATTCTCCTGCCTCAGCCTCCCAAGTAGCTGGGATTACAGGCATGTGCCACTACTTAGTAGAGATGGGGTTTCTCCATTTTGGTCAGGCTGGTCTTGAACTGCAGACCTCAGGTGATCTGCCCGTCTCAGCCTCCCAAAGTGCTGGGATTACAGGTGTGAGCCACCGCACCTGGCCTAAACGTCTTTCTTATAAGTTACCCAGCTCAGGTATTTCTTTATAGCAATGCAAGAACAGCCCAACATAGATATATAGAAAAACAACATTGACATTATAAAGTAATTCCTTATCTCATAAAAGGGAAGCCTACTGATTACAACCACAGAGGTGAAGTTATTAATATCTGCTTTTCTTGTTTAATGATCCTTCATATTTTGTAAGTACTTACTGAGTATCCACAACTATATCTCCTCCTGTGCCTGAATACAGAGCTGACATTACGCTGGATGGCAGTATAGCAAAAATGTGAACTCCCTTCGGGTGTTACAGATTGACTAGATGATACAGAGTCCTGGTAGTATTCAAAGGGTTTCCCCACTAGCATATGCAAACCTTATCTGCATGTGGATTACATTCAAATGTGTCCAATGCACCATCTTCATTGTATCCTGTGACTGTAGATCATGGTGGTCATGGGCACTGATTCTAATGACAGACTGCCTGGGTTCAAATTCCAGCTCTACGGTTTACCAGATGTGGGGTTTGAGCAAGTTACTTAATCTCAACTTTTTCGTCTGCAAAGTGGGGTTTTGCAGATGCAAAAACTACCTACCTACCTACCTTTTTTTTTTTCTTAACCTACCTCAGAAGGTAAATATGAGTTATTAAGTGTGAAGTGCTTACAATATAATACCTCGCACACAGTAAGTGCTACGTGAGTGTTGGCCATATTGTTCTACTCCCCCAGAGGGAGCAATGCAAGAACAGGGTGGAGTCAAGAGGCTGTTGAGAGATGCATAGCGAGACTGCAGAGAAGACAATAAATGCATGTGACAAAAAATGTGGTAAAAAAAATGAAGAAGTTTTTATCATTTTTTAAGACAATGAAAATTAGGAATGAGTTCTTCAAAGCAATGAAAATCTCAACTGAAGCTGATGAGCTTTTCCCCATAACCTAAGTAGAAAAGAGAGTCTGAACCTGGTGTGAAAATGTACATATACATAGATAGATAATAGTGTTTTGTACTGAAAGACATTTTAATAGCTTAATTACCTTACACAGGTCATTTAAAAAATTTATGTTTATTTTTCCTCATCAGCTCAACAGAAGGTTTCTTCATATTTGAAGCTGAGGAGAGAGCTTAGAGATCTTTCACACAAGAAATAACCAATATAAATTTGATGCATGCATGAATGCATAGATTCAACTATACTCTTATTTAAAAGAAACAACCTTCTGGTATGTACTACATTCATTTTATTTCATTTCAACATGCACTTATGAAACAGCTGTACATCCCCAGGTGTCGGGTAAGATGGCGGGAAGACAAAGATGAGCTTGTCAAACTCTGTGACCTTACGGAATTCACAGTCCAAAGGAAAAGGTAAGACCTGCAGTACATTAATCCTTGTGCACTAACCAGGACAAAGTACAGGATTGCTAGAGATAGGGCTTTTGTTAAAAGACACAGCCCAAACTGAATCAAAATTCAGTAGTTTAATTTTCCTCATGGTAGAGTGCAGAGGGCTGGGACAAGGGCCAGAGGAACAGGATGCAGAGAAGCCCCACTAGGTGGGCACTCCCTGAGCTTGAAGCAGGTTAAATGAATTCTCTCAGCAGGCCCCCTACGCCCACTCAGTGACCACTGTACTTACCACTGTCTGCAGTTCACAGTGGAGAAATTGGCAGCTCAGAAAGGGAAAAATCTCTTGGCCCCGGCCAAGTAGCTAGTGACAGGCAGATCCAGTTTCCACTTGTTTCTAGCTTACCCCAGAGCCCTTGACATCATCCCACAGTGTCACATCCATGCAGGGCAAAATCCTTTCCAGCCACACCAGGTCATCTGGACAGCCAGGCTCCAATGGGTTTGAGCTAAGTCTTAAAGCTGTCACCTGACCAATCATTCAGCGAGAAATATTCAGGGGGAGGAATGGAAGATGATCAAAGGCTGGAAACCGACAACTGTGTCCCAATAAATGCTTATTTGTATTCAACTCTTCTTTATTTTTATTTCTATTTTTTTAGAGACAGGGTTTCTCTCTGTTGCCCAAGATGGAGTGCAGTGGCATGAGAGTAGCTCACTATGGCCTTGAACTCCTGGGCTCAAGCAATCCTCCCATGTCAGCCTCCCAAACAGCTAGGACTATAGGCATGCTCCACCATGCCTGGCTAATTTTTTAAAAAAGCTTTTTTAAGAGATGGGGTGTTCCTTTATTGCCCAGGCTGGTCTCAAACTCCTAGGCTCAAGTAATCCTCCTGTCTCAGGCTCCCAATGTGTTGGGTTTATAGGCGTGAACCACCATGCCTGGCCCTCAGTGGTTTTCGTAAACACATGTGAGCAAAGAGGTAAAACCCAGCCACCCAATTTCAATAATACACAATTCTTGGTTAAAAAGTAGATAGGATGTTTGAGTTGTGCAAATGTCAACTCAAAAAAATACTAAGGCGATGTCTTAGTATTTTTGTCTTGATACTTACAAGTTAGGCTTAAGTGAAATATTCACTATTTTTTTTTAACAGGAAGTGAAGAAATCAATGAGTTAGTGGCAGTTTTTCCTGCCAAAACATAGTCATTCTGAATAGAAGGAGAGAATTCCTGTTTTCTGGGTTGAACACACGCTCAGTGCCAGGAGGGTGAAATCTAACCTTCCTTTCAATCTCTTGCCCTACTGTTTTTCCTAAGTTATATTTATTTATTTATTGTTTTCAGTGCATACCAAAGTAATTCAGAAAGCCAACCATCTTAATAAAGAGACGAAATACAACCTAATACAACCATCCTAAATAGTTTTAATAAAGAAATGTTTATCAGAGTAATAACTTATTTATAATAATAAAAATCATAAGCATACAAAGTGGAGCTATGATGGAGGTACAGAGAATAATGAAAATACCTAGGCAAAATTGAAGTGTGTGTCTTCGTAACACTAAATCACATAGACATTTATACTGCTAATGTGATAATAATCGCTATTCATTTGATTCATCTATTAGAACGTGAAGGTGGTAAAAAATTTCTTTCCAGAGTTAGAATAACTTTGGTTGGCTATCTTCATCAATTTAATCACCTGGTTAATTGATCAGATCTTCATTTCACACAGGGCTGTTGATCAGATCTTCATTTCACATAGGGCTGGTGGAAGGTGAAGGAAGAACAAAGGCATGTCTTACATGGCAGCAGGCAAGAGAGCTTGTGCAGGGGAACTGCCCTTTATAAAACCATCAGATCTTGTGAGACTTATTCACTATCATGAGAACGGCACAAGAAAAACCGGCCCCCATAATTCAATTACGTCCCACGGGGTCCCTCGCATGGCACATGGAGATTATGGGAGCTATAATTCAAGATGAGATTTGGGCAGGGACACAGCCAAACCATATCAGAGCTTTTTATCCAATGAAGCCAGGTTAGTGGGAGTTGGAAAGAGGCACTTCTGTCCACAACACAGCATTGCTAGAGCTGTCTGATACCTAAAGGAGTGAGACAAGGCCAATGTTGACTTAGATTTCTTTAACATCCTTCTTCCTAGGACCTTAGGAGTGCAAACCAACTCATATAAATTAAATTAGATTCTCCCAGTATTTAAGCTTTGCTTTAAGAATACTACAAGGCACATTCAGACTTTTAAGGTACCCCAGTGACCAGAACAGTGGCAAACACACAGCTGGCATTGAGTAAATAGTGGCCGAATACACAGATGAATGAATGAATGAATTTATAAGCATTTAAAACCACAGCATTAAATATTTATTAGAAATACAAAAGCACTTAGCATACTTTTTCTGAAGTTTTTGTTAAACAGAGAAACTGAATTCATTAGATCCATTATGTTTAAAAAATCCTAGTGTAATATAAAGAAATAAATAGATTCATTCTTTTCATTTTTCAAACTTCCCACAGTGACTGGCCAGAGTAATTCCAGAGTAAACAGAAACAGAACTGAGACTCCTGCCCATGAGGACAGATTTCACAGTCTACTTCTGCATGGTTCATTAATTTATAATTTGTGAAATTAGCAAGAGAAGAGCCTAAAGAAAATACAAAAAGAAAATGAATGATTTATTTGATCTACCTTTTGGGTTCCCAACTCTCTCTCTATTATTGATTCTTGATTATCTAAGTTAAAATGAGCAAGGAATAAACAAATCCCAGGTAATATTATATTCATTTTAGTCAACTAATTAAACTACTCATCAACCATTTGTCAGAGCTGCAATGCAAGGAAAAGCTACTCATCAACCTTTTATTAATTTAATTGTTAAATTGACTCTTTGAGTTTCATCTCTCTACTCTTAGAACAATGTGGCCCAGAAAGGCCAGAGAATAACAAAATAGAAAAGCAAAATGTCCAAATAGTCTACACACTGGATAATTGTCCTGTTAATAATTAAAGTTTAGGGGAGCTCTAGAGTTGGTATAAGAACACCTCTGCGGTAGGATGAAAAGTGGCCTCCAAAAAATATCTACATCCTAATCCTTGGAACCTGTGAATGTTACCTGATGTGGTAAGAAAAAGGGGGCTTTGCAGATGTGATTAAGGATCTTGAGATCACGAGATGGTCCCGGGCTATGCAGGTGGCTCTAAGTGCAATAACCTGTATCCTCATAAGAGGGAAGCAGAAAGAAATCTGACACAAGAAAAGAAGGAAATGTGAAGATGGAGCAGAGAGAGACTCGATAATGCTGATCTGGATGATGGGAGAGATGCAGCCACAAGCCAAGGAATACCAGAGCCACCAAAAGCTGAAAGATGCCAGGAATGGATCCTGCCTTAGAGCCTCTGGATGGAGCGTAGCCCTGCAAACACCCTGATTTTGGCCCAGTGATACTGATTTTGGACTTCTGGAGTCCAAAATTGTGAGAAAATAAATTTCTGTTGTTTTAAGCCACTAAGTTTGCAGTAATGTTACAACAAATTTATTTCTATCCATAGGAAACTAATACAATGTCTATTTAGAATTATAGTTGATGTGTGTGTGTGTGTGTGTGTGTGTGTGTGTGTGTATTCTAGTTGGTGTGTGCTTTCGTAGAGAAGAAGGGGATCTTATAGACTGGCTTTAAATCATAATGATAATGAAGACTTATCCAACTTATTGTTCCTCCTGACTCTCAACTACAGCAACCTTTGGAAATGTGGTTTCAAGGGACCATAGTCTTCTACATCTGATACCTTTTCTATTGGGTAAATTACCCTATGAAGGTCACACAGCAAATTAGAACATTTTGCAGTGATAATAAGCGCCACTTTCTCCATCACCTAAAGCTAAAAGGGAAATAACATCCAAAATGAGAAACTCTTCTGTGACTTTGAGATCCTTATTTATTTATTGATGTGTGCTCTAAGGAGTGTGTGTGTGTACATCTGTGTGTGTGTTGAGACATGGTTGGAAATGCCATATTCACAAGGAGCCATAGACTGCTTTCCACATAGAGTCAGCCCTGGGTAGCATGCTTGGAAGGCTCGGAGAACATTCATTTCTTGTCACTCAACGAAAATTCATCAGTGTTTTCTCCAATCATACAATTTGCCTGAGTGCCACAGGGGATGAAAAGATGTAAAGCATATTTATTGGCCTCAAGGTATATATGATACAGTTGGGTTGAAAATTCATCCAAATAAAAGGGGAAGTAACAGCAAAATACAGCCATATGAGAAAAGCTATAAGTCATGTGGCTAATTTCTTTCCTGAGATACTGTTACCTCGAGCTTTCTTTCCTGTATTTCCACTCTTCCAACCGTTTCAAACAAACAGCTGGGCTGTTCCTATTCCTTGCACTGCAGAGCTGACAGCATTCCTGCAGTTTACAAAAACCTAAGCTCATTGCACATATTATTGTTTGGACTGAGTGTTTGTGTCTCCCTGAAATTCTTGTGTTGAATCTGTAACCCCATATGAAGATATTTAGAAGGGGAGCCTTTGGCAGATAAGTAGGTTTAGATGTGGTCCTGAGAATGGGATCCTTATGATGGTATTAGTGCCCTGAGAAGAAGAGGAAGAGAGCTCTGTTTGCCACCCAGGTCAGGCCAGGTGAGCACAGAGCGAGAAGGTGGTTGTCTCCAAGCCAGGACGAAGGCCCTTGCAAAGAACTGAATAAGCCAGCACCTTGATCTTGGACTTTCTAGCTTCCAAAACTGTGAGAAAGAGATGTCTATTCTTGAAGCCACCCAGTCTATGGGACTCTGTTATAGCAGCCTAGATGGACTTTTACAACCATAGCAATCCCTGAGGTGGGAAGAAGATAAAAGCATTGTCTTAGAAATTAGAAGAGGGGAGAGGCGGTGATTTTCCCCAAGTGGAGAAGAGATAGAAGTCCTGGGAGTGGCTGCCTCTTGGGTAAAGTCCCAGGCAGTCCCAGGCTGCATGTTGGGTCTAGAGAGGCTGAACTGCAGCCTGGGATGCCAGCCAAGGCAAAGATGCCTTTTCCTCACTCTCCATCTGAAAGGAGCAAGTGTTCATGTGATCTCCCAGGCTTTGGCTCTGAAGACCTCAGTGCTGACTGTGGTGGATTGGAGCATAGAGGCTTCTGCCCCTTTTTTCTGTGGTCCCTACAAGCACTCTATACTCCCAGGGACAGAGAGTATGGCTCTCTGTAAGCCGTCATGGCAGAGATGGGACTTCCACCTGCTTGGTGACATAGAAGCTCAGAGTCTAGGTTAAGTTGATTCAAGCAGAGTAAAGAATGGTGATACTTGGCACACTTTGGTTTAGGGATGCAGGTCTCTACCTGCATCAACAGTCCATCCCACTAGACGCTCCATGATCCAGCTTCCTTCCTTTCCCCAGTGTTCTGCAATCCCACCCCAGATCCAGCAGCTTGGATCTAACCACAGATCAAACTTCTTCCCCAGATCGAATACACCTTTCAAGACTCAGCTAGAATCCCCTCTCCTTAAGAAGGCTTCCTAGATGCTCTCAGTCACAATGAATCTCTTCTTTCTGTACACTCAACATTTTATATTTCTATTTTGCATTTACCACTACTTGCCTCATATGGTATAAATGTCCGACGTTTGCCCTTCAGTAGATTATGAATTCTGGGGCCTGGAGAGGTTCTCCGTTGGATTTGTCCTTTGGCCCTCTCTTCACATTTGATCCCATGAACTTCTCACTCCTCACAGCCTACCCCAGCACCCAGGATGGTGTCTTAACCTTAGAGCGTTTTCAGTACAAATGTTCCTCTACTTAACTATGTCCTGATAAACCCATCTGAAGCTGAAATCATTGTAGGTCGAAAATGCATTTAGTACACCTAACCAACTGAACATCATAGCTTAGCCCAGCCTCCCTGAAATGTGCTCAGGACACTTACATTAGCCTAAAGCTGGGCAAAATCATGGGCAACACAGCCTGCTGTAGAGTATCAGGTGTTTACCCTCATGATTGAGTGACTGATTGGGAGCTGCCACCGCCTAGCTATATGAGACAGTGTCGTACCGCCTGGGAAAAGATCAAAATTCAAAATTCAAAGTACAGCTTCTACTGAATGCATATTGTTTTTGCACCATCATAAAGTTGAAAAGTTGTTAAGTCAATACTGTCTGTGTTTGTTAAATTTCATCCAATTGCGGGGTGTAGTCAATCAGAGGAGGCAGAGAAAGAACTGAAATGAAGTAATCACAGCACACTTCTTGGGGAAGGTAGACCTTAATTTGGATCCCCAAAAAGAGGTTTGTTTTTCTAAACCATGGGTAATACTTTGCAAACAGGGTAGCGCTCTAAAGGCCTGAGAAAGATAGGGGAATTACCAATAACCTTCCTTACTGAAAAGGAATGATTCATCATAGAAAAATATCTGACTGAACAAGTTTTTTTCATACATAAAAGTCATTAACTTGGGCTTCATTAATCCAGAGTTTAAAGTATTACTAATAATAATATCCAACATTTGAATAGTGCTTCTCTGTCAACAGAGCAGTAAGCAAAATACTCATATACATTAATCCTATTTCATCCTAACACCATCTTTTGAGGTATCTTGCAATCCCAATCTGAGGAAGAAATAAAATCAGGGAGGGTAAATAATTTGATTTCTACTCAGGTCTTCTTTTCATTTTTTCCCACCACTAAACCACATTGATTGAAAAAAATCATCAAATTAGAGTTAAAAATGATTTAGTTACAGACCCATTGTCTTCCTCTAAACCTTGACTATAAAGTGGTAAATCAACCTTTGAAATCAACCTTTGCTGGGCAAATTAAAAGTGTAAAAAAGATTAAACGGAAAATTTTACAATCACTGAAATGAACAAACTGGAGAGTTTTGCTATAGAAGCAGGATTGTTATGGAATAAAAATAAATCAGGATTGTTGGTGAGCTGATAATAAACCAGTGGCATTAGTGTAATAATAACAAACCCGTGTAATGGAGAATGTTAATTAGTCAGTGAACTGTGATCATTACACTTCTTCCTTGTTTATTTGCTAAAGAAAATCCTCAAAAGACCTTTATCTGACACTGCTTGATTGGCCTAATTTGAATTTTCTATATACTTGAAAGCAATAAAATTGTATTTCTTTAAAGTGGAGTCCAAAACTCAAACTTTTTATTGCTTTACTCTGGTCTCATCCCCAGTTAGTTAAACAAAATAGTGACACTTGATTATATTCCTTTGTTTGACTTTGCTCTGAGACAGCAGTATACAGGCACCTGACTTTATCAGGAAAAGTCTAAATCCTTGACTTTCATAGAAAAATAAAGACTCTCTGCCCCATGCAACAGAATTGAACTATGTAATCACTTTTTTTTTTCTAAAGAAATTTCAAGGGCCAAGAACATCACATGCCATGAATTATAAAAGAGCCAAATCTTGGTTTTATAAGATTTCAGGACAAAGCACAGAAGGGCAAAGAGTATTGTAAAAGCTGAAATAAAAGCCGAAATAAAAGCCTTGATTATGTGAAAGGGCTTTTTATGGAGGGGGATATTTTGGCTTTTAGAAATCTGTCTTTTCTGAGCGTTTTTGTGAAGCATAAAAATGAAATACAATTCCTTGTGTGAACTTAGAGAAGGTAATTGAGCAGAAATGCTGACTCTCTTTAGCATTTGGTCCTCTGGTATATGCTGGGTCCCTCCCTGACATCAGATGGCTATGCCAGCCTTAAAGAGCAGTTATTAAAATCCAATTTTCTTGGAAGGCTTGATTTCTATGATTATTATTATCATCCCTTTGCATGCTTTGCACACTGTGGACTTCTTGGGATAACTTTTCTTGAAAAGAGATTTAAGTGTATTCATCTTGCCTCGGGAAATGGTGAAGCTAGGTCATAACTGCTACCACTTCTGTAGGAGGAAATATTCTTTTTTTAAAAAAAAATTTGGATTCAGAGGGTACATGTGCAAGTTTGTTACATGAGCTTATTGTGTAATGCTGAAGTTTGGGGTGTGACTGACCCTGTCACTCAAGTAAGGAGCATAGTACCTAATAGGTAGTTTTGCAATCCCTGCTCCCCTCCCCACCTCCCTTCCTTTGGAGTCCCCAGTGTATACTGTTTCCATCTTTATGCCCATGTGTACCCAATGTTTAGCTCCCTTATAAGTGAGAGCATGTGTTATTTGGTTTTCTGTTTCTGTGTTTAATTCACTTAGGATAGAGACCTCCAGTTGCATCCACATTGCTGCAAAGGACATGATTTCATTCTTTTGTATGGCTGAGTAGTATTCCATGCTGTATATGTACCGCAATTTCTTTATCCAGTCCACTGTTGATAGGCACCTAGGTTGATCCCATGACTTTGCCATTGTGACTAGTGCTGTGAGGAACATGCATGTGCATGTGTGTTTTGGTAGAATGATTTATTTTCCTTTGGGTATATACCCATTAATGAGATTGATTGCTGGGTCGAATGGTAATTCTATGTTTAGTTCTATGAGAAATCTGCAAACTTCTTTCCATAGGGCCTGAACTAATTTACAATCTGCAGGAGGAAATACTCTTGCCTCTCCTTTTATATAAGGGAGAAAAGAGAAAATATAAAAATCTCCTTACCTGTTGCCTGGAGAGTTTGACCTGCAGTTTGCAAAGATTTTTGCAATCATGGTAACAGACTTTGCATGAGCAAAGGTGAAGACCAAGATATAGCTGAATAATTGCCTTGCCAACCTTGCATCAACAAAAATATGTCCAGAGTCTCTCCCGTGGAGTGTTTTATCAGTCTGGGCAGCACTGAAATTCCCAGAACACAGAGGCAGAAGCTAGTGTAGGAGACCTTAGTCTGTGCTGTATGACTGTCTAGTGCCCATCATTGACTCCCCAGAAAGCATCCTGCCACCCCTGAATCCTCAAGTCCATCCATTCAGCGTCCTTGCAGTATACCCTGTCCTTTGGGTCTCCCACTTCCTGATCTCCAGTAGAAGATAAAATGCCCCAGACAGTATGCCATCTCTTCTAGACCCTTCTAGATACATACTTCCCACACTTTAATGTGCTTTCAGATCCTCTAGGTAATACTAAACTAAAATACTTACTAAACTATAATACTTACTAAAATCCAGATTCTAATGGACCAGGTCTGGGCTGGGGCCTGAAATTCTGCATTTCTAACAAGGTCTCAGGTGTGATGCTGGTGCCGTTGGTCCCTGGAGCTCACTTTGAGGAGCGAGTTTCTAGACAAGCTGACCCTTGTTGTTCACTTCCTCCCTTTGCAATTATTAAACAAATTATTCTAAATTTAGATAGTTTGGTTTCCTTTTTCAGAGCTTAGTGTCCCATGAGCACATGCAGTGGAATTGATGAAATCTGGTTAGTCTTGAATCTCAGTCTCTTCATCTGTAAAATGGGCAGTAGTTGTCACTGTGCACAGAATAAGGGAGAAGAAAAACTCAGAAAGTGCTTGTGAATATAAACTGTCAAGTGCTTTGTAGATATCAGTTAATTGGTAATATCTCCTAGAGGGGAACGTCTAATACCAGGACTTCGTTTGTGTCCCCCACAAGGGAGGAGAAGTTGGTAATATTATTGTGTGTATTTGGGCTTCATTGGGCTGTATTTTACTAATGGGTGAGATTAGTGTGACTCAAAGACAGATGCACAAACGCTATCTTCTTACTCTGTGTTTCTTGTCTTAGACCCAGGCAAGAACTGACTCCTGGGGGGCAACCCAGCCCTGTCCATTCATTCCATTTATGTTGTCTGTCCTCCTTGCAAGTAGCAGTGAGTAATTTTCTCTGCAGAACTGGCTTGTTCTGTTGAGCTTTCTCTCTGTACTTCTCATCTGAGTATGCTTTGCCCAGAATTTAAAATCTAGAGGGACTTAGAAGAGCCGTTGAAGCACAGATACCCATTTTCTCGGAGTCTTGTCTTAGGCTCAAGCTCTTCTGAATCGATTAATAAAGGAACACTTAGTTTCTGGGTCCCCAGCCATAATAACAATAGTAACAAAACGATAGCCATAATTTAAACCCCAGACTTGCTCATCTGTTTTGTGGCATTGAAGAGCACTCTAGGTATCCATAGCATAGACCTTTGATGGAGACTTTTTTTCTTTTTTTTTTTGAGATGGAGTCTCGCTTTTGTCGCCCAGCCCAGGCTGGAGTACGGTGGCACGATCTTGGCTCACTGCAACCTCCTCCTCCTGGGTTCAAGCAATTCTCTTGCCTCAGCCTCCTGAGTAGCTGGGATTACAGGTGCCCGCCTTCACGCCTGGCAAATTTTTGTATTTTTAGTAGAGACAGGGTTTCACCATGTTGGCCAGGCTGGTCTTGAACCCCCGAACTCAGGTGATCTGCCCACCTTGGCCTCTCAAAGTGCTGGGATTACAGGCGTGAGCCACCGCGCCTGGCTGGAGATATTTTTCATATTTGTAAAGAGACACTACTAATTCCAGCACTGATTGGAAAAATGTGACAACCATCACTTTATTTGGATGTGAACAATCTATCTAAATCTCTAGTGGCACCTCTTCCTCTAGGTGGACATTGCAGTTGATTCCCCAACTCCATCCCCTTTCTCAACCATTGCAGAAGAGCAATAAGTTGTGCAAAAGAGATCTGTTTCAGAGTAGATGCTGATCAGGTTAAATCAGTCATGTTAATCCTGTACCCCCGATGTGTGGCTGCATCAGGGACCCAGACCTGAGTGGTCAGATAATGATTAAGAAAGGGGCAGGTGACCTGATTCGGCTCAATTTGGCTGAAAGGAAGAACTCCTGGCAGCTTCTTTCTCTCCAAACACAGATAGGGAATCCTGTAGCTTCATTTCCTCGAAGAAGTCACCCTGAAATCTAGAAGATAATCAGGATGAAGTCAACATTCTGGAGGGCAGAGTGAGAAATGAAGAAACACCAGGCCTTGATGGTATCATGGGATTTCTCTGTTGACCAGCTCTGAAGTTACTTTGAGTTTTCTGTTACCTGCAGCTGAAAACACACTAAGGGACAGATTTCCTGCATCGGTAGATTTCCAGTCTTTCGATTCTATGAAAATCTATTTATTCTTTTATTTAACAAAGACTTTTAGATCATCTGTTGTGTACATGGTTCCATACTAAGTATTAAGGATACAACAAAGCAGACACAATTCTTGAGCAGATATTCTATAATAGGCAGAAGCATGTCAGCTATGATTGAATTGTTGTGATTAAGCAGATAGGCCTTAAATTGAGGGATGCTGGGTGTACAGCTGACCCTTGAACAACATGGGAGTTAGGGGCGCCCCCAGATGGAATTTCACTCACAGTTGGCATCCATGTATAACTTTTATTCCCCCAAAACTTAACTACTAATAACCTACTATTGACCAGAAGCCTTGCCTATTATATATGTGTCAATCAACATATATTTTGTATGTTATATGTATTATATACTTTATTCTTACAACAAAGTAAGCTGGAGAAAAAAATGTTATTAAAAAAATTATAAGGAAGGGAAGCTATATTTACTATTCATTAGGTGGAAGTGGATTATCATAAGGGTCTTCATTCTCATGGTCTTCACCTTGAGGAGGCTGAAGAGGAGGAGGGGTTGGTCTTGTTGTCTCAGAGTAGCAGAGGCAGAAGGGGTGGAGGAGGTGGAACGGGAAGCAGGAGGGACAGGTACATGGTGTAACTTTGATTGAAAAAATTTCACATATAAGTGGGCCACTGCAATTCAAGCCCATGTTGCTCAAGGGTCAACTGTGTTTGGCTCTAGAAATATAAGATTGAGAGTAATTTATTTTCCTCCCAATGGTGTTTAGGAAAGTTTTACCCACCATAGCATCAGTCAGTCCCCATTTCTTTCCAGCTTTTGCAGTAGAGGGAAAAGGCAGAGGCTGGTGGAAAATCCATTGAAGTTCCAGCCTATGTAGGCAGTCCCCCAACCCCTGTTGTCCCATCATCCTGTGTCCCCTGAGTCATATTTTGGTCCTAAATTCAGCAATAGGATTTAAATAGAATTAATCAATGGCCATTAGGCCTTTGTCACATGAACACATTGATTTTCATTTCACATGGGTGTTCTTTAATTCCTAACAAGAAAATGTCTTAAGCAGGGAATGTATAGTTTTAAGGGGTCATTTGAAGATAGAAGAGACATGCTTTGAACGTCTACGTCTAACAAGCTTCATAAACATAAAGGATGTTTCTTTTCACTAGCACTTGTTAATAATTCTTTATCATGCCATATGTGGGAGACATTTGAAATCATAACCACTGAAAAGACATAGATTCAGGCACACAGCTACATATACTGCAATTACAATGTGAATATTAAATACTAAATATTCACATTAAACACAAAAATATGCAGTGTAGTAAGGAAAGGCTTATGACTAACTTATTTTTCTGATGTCATGAAACATAGAAAATAATCTCTCTCTAGTAACAATGAGGTGAGCCCTTCCTGAACCCAGAGGGCTACACTGACTTTGTTAACTGTCAGTATCTGAGTCCCTGAGCCAATAAGAGCTTTATTATCTCACTCGACTTTCCTTAACTTTCCACAGCTTTTGGGCAAGAAATGAGGCCAACAAAGCTTCCTGCAACACATATCTTCAGTTCTAAAAATTCTGATTCTAGAATTACTGTTTTAGTGACTTAAATTTTTGCTTCTAAGAGATTTCATAAAGAGATAAATTTTATCTGTTTCAAAACATTTTCATATCGTATCTTTCCTTATACTTGGGATCTGTGGAACATGAAAAACATACACATACACACACACACACACACACACACACACACACACACACACACACTCTTTTGTCAGCCATACGGTATCGTTCAGCGTAGGATATTTGCCTTGTGTAGACACAGCTGGAATTACTCAACATCATTCCTTGCCACAAGTAAACAAAAATATATATAAGATTATGAATTATAAAAATATCTTTGACTCACAGCTGAATTCACATCACTGTTGACTAGAGCCTGGCAATCCTATATGACTGTAAAAGAAATAAGACGTTGTAATGCCAAGTAGTTATTCTTAATGTGAGCACAGGCCTTCCTCTCTCCTCTAATCTTGAGTTAATACACCTACATTTCTATGTCCCAGTTTTTTACATATAATATAGCATCAGGAATATTTATGACCAGAATGAAGGTTTTGACAGAGATTTTGATTTTCAGCATCAAGATTTTGGTTTTCGGGCCATGATGAACTCATTAATCTTTTAAAAATATACCATTTTTTTTAAGTTCACTTGCTTACATGGCTAGAAGATTCTGGGGAGAATGTCCTTTGTTCTCATACATGAATGAATAGTGTGAGGCAAAAAGAATGAGAATGAGTGACAAGAAAGGAACAGAGAATATGTTCTCTTCTGTGACTGGTGAACTCAGTTTCTTCTCCGTCCTCAGCCTTCTAAAGCACCCTAAGCTACATGTGGAGGGTTGATGTAGAGTTTAAAGGTACCAGATGTTAGCTCAGAAAATAGGGCATGGTGACAAGGAAGGTGACGAGGAGGCTGGTGTGACACCCCTGGGGGTGGCAGTGACAAGAGTGAGCTCCCTGCTCCTGTATCTTCACCTACTGATCAAGCATCCTTGGCTAAGTCACACACATTCTGTGTTTCCGTACCAATTGCTTTGCTTTTAAATTTAAAAGCACCTTGATGTTGTAAGACAACACTTATAAAAGGGGATGTGAACAGGGAGAAAAGAGTTTCCATGCTTTCCATCCCCAGTGAGATAGAGAGCCCTGTCTCTGATCCAGGGAGGAAGATGAGAGTTGGAAACATCAAGAAAACTTAGACATGGGTCTTCTCGTCCTGCCAGGGCAAATCTGAGAGGGAAAGCAAAGGTCCTAGCAGCCTCCTCAGTGTGAAGTTTGGAGGATGTGAGAGAAGTCTCCTCTCCCACAGGCCCATTGAGACATCCTAGAGTCGCTTGTCCTAAGGATGGTGAAGACCAGGGTGAGTGATCACTGGCTGCCCTAGGACTCCTGTATCTCCCAAATGAGAGAGTGGTGACTGCTGCAAGTCTCAAAGTTCCCAAGGTCCTCAATGGGAGGAAGAAGTCAGCAGAGTGTGAGAGAGAGACAACAGCAGTGAGGGGCCCCTGGGCCTGCAGGGGTCTTAGAGTGGCAGCTGTCATCTGAGCAGATCCCCAGAACCAGGGAGCCCAGGGGAAGCAGTGTCAGCATCGGTAGATTTCCTAGGCCATCTTCTACAGCAGACGTTCTCCATCATGGGAGCTTCGGCAATTCTCAGTGCTGAGCCATGCTCTGGTCTCATCATTCAGAATCTCTGACCATGCTATGCAGGCATTACGGTTGACCCATGAACAACCTAAATTTGAACTGCATGGTTCCACTTATACACGGATTTTTTTCAACCAAGTAGATGGAAAATACAGTATTCCCGGGACGGAAAACTCGAGAATAGGAAGTTTTCATATATGCAGGTTCCTCAGGGCTGACTATGGAACCTGAGCATGCATGGATTTTGGTTATGTGGTGGTGGAGGGGCATTCTGGAACTGACCCCCCGCATATACCAAGGCATGACTGTACTATATTTTAAAGCTCCTTACCATGGACTCCCCAGATTTATATGTTGAAACCCTAATCCTGATGTGATGGTGTTTAGCCTTTGGGAGGTGATTAGACTATGAGAGTGGAGCCCTCAAGATGGGACTGGTGCCCTAATAAGAAAAGACCAGAGAAGCCAGGCGCAGTGGCTCACACCTGTAATCCCAGCACTTTGGGAGTTCAAGGCAGGCAGATCACTTGAGGTCAGGAGTTCAAGACCAGCCTGGCCAACATAGTGAAACCCTGTCTCTACTAAAAACACAAAAAGTTAGCTGGGTGTGGTGGCACACACCTGTAACCCTAGCTACTCAGGCAGCTGATGCAGGAGAATCGCTTGGACCGAGGAGGCGAGGCTGCTGTGAGCCATTATCACACCACTGCACTCCAGCCTGGGCGACAGAGTGAGAACCTAGAGACCCTGTCTCAAAAAAAAAAAAAAAAAAAAAAAAAAGGAAAGAAAGACCAAGAGCTAGCCAGCTCTCTTTCTGCCATGTGAAGATACGAGGAGAAGTCTGCAATGGAAGAGGGCCCTCACCAGAACCCCACCATGTGGGTGCCCCAATCTCGGACTTCCAGCCTCCAAAACTGTGGGAAATAAATTTCTGTTGTTTATAAGCCACTCAGTCTACAGTACTTTGTTATGGCACCCCGAGGGAAGACACCCCCATGTAATTGCAATGTGGAGTCAAGGTTGGGAACCACGGATCCAGTTTGTTCTGTGCACCCTTGCTACTTACCTAAAGTGTGGTGCTCAAAGACTGGCAGCATCAGCATCAGCATCACCTGGGCATGTGTTAGAAATGCAGAATTGCAGGTCCTACCCCAGAGCTTCTGTCTCAGAATTTACAGTTTAAAAAGATCGGAAGGAGCTCATGTGCGTGTTAAAGTTGAGAAGGCTGCTGCTCACCGGCTGGGCAAGAACCAGACGAGGTCAGGTGGACCTGTGGTAGTGAGCCCATCTCATGCTTAGATCAGGGATTTTCAGCCTTGCAGAATGTTCCACCCCAGACCTTTGAGATCAAAATATCTACACGGGGAGACTGGTCTTTGGTATTTTTCAAAAGCATCTTGGCTGATTTTAATAGGCAGCCAGGGTTGAAAACTACTGACTTAGGTACAAAGCTGACAACTCCACACTTTGTGGGGACAAAGGCTGGGGAACAAGCAAGAGGGAAATTTCAACCTGAAAGTGACTGAGTTGCAAGTCTGAATTGACCCAGAATTCACTCACTCAAATGGACTGAGTTCCCATGGACGCAACTGAATTAAGTATCTCCAGCAGACAGAATACAGCTTGGAGACAGAACATTGCCTCGAGTTTTTCAAAGATAAAGACACATTTTTGCATGCCTGAGTCTGACTACGAAGTCACTCCATATATAAAATACTGTGATAATGCCTGGCACATAGTACTCTATCAATAAATGGTTATTATATTTAAGCAGAGAATGACATGACTCTAATATATATGTCCACTATATTTTGTTTGGATTTTAAAATCTGAAGATTGATATCTTGCAACAATTTTGGAACCTCTATCTCTTTAAACATCTCCTCTCTCTCTCATTCTCTCTATTCTATTAATAAACTGCAGCTGGGTGTATACGAGCTCTGTTCTTTCTAGTCTCTGAGACCCTTATTAATTGTTTACATTTTTTCATTTCTTTGTCACTCCATGTTGCATTTTGAGTAATTTCTTCAAATCAGTTTTCCAGTTCACTAATTTCTTTTCTTTCTTCTTTTTTTTTTGTGCTGGGGAGAGGGGATGGAGTCTCGCTCTGTTGCCCAGGCTGGAGTGCAGTGGCGCAATCTTGGCTCACTGCAACCTCCACTGCCCAGGTTCAAGAGATTCTCCTGCCTCAGCCTCCCAAGTAGCTGGGACCACAGGCGTCTGCCACCATGCTGGCTAATTTTTGTATTTTTAGTACAGACGGGGTTTCACCATGTTGGCCAGGCTGGTCTTGAACTCCTGACCTCAGGTGATCCGCCTGCCTTGGCCTCCCAAAGTGCTGGGATTACAGGCATGAGCCACCACACTAATTTCTTTTTTGAACTGGGTCTAATCCACCATTAGTGAGTCCTTCAGGCTTTACATGTTAATTTATATTTCATAAATAAACATATATTTATATTTATATTATTTATAAATATATATTTAATTATATATTTATAAATATATTTATACTTATTTATATATAAATATTTATTTATAAATATATTTATAATTTATATATAAATATTTATTTATAAATATATTTATATTTTATAAATAAATAGATATGGGGCATATAAATATATCGTTATATTTTATAAATAACATGAATATTTCCTTCCTTTCCCTAGCTCTATTTGTTTTACTGTCTCTTATTCATGCTTTGATCACTTTTCTATTTTCAAATAGTTAAATCATGCTTAATTTTTAGTCTATGCCCGTATCTAAATCTAAAATTATCCAAAATCTAAAATTATCCTGAGTTTGATTTTGCTATGTGTTGTTTCTGCTGGCTCTTGCATGTGGTGGCTTATTTCTTTGTTGGGTGTGTGTGTGTATGTTTGTGTGTGTGTGACTATAAGTTCATGTTTTATTAGTAATTTTTTTTTGAGGATTGATAGATAATTCCTTCTGGTTCATTCAGCAAGTATTTGTGTTGGCTTCTTCTAGGCTACTGGGGGGTATTACCAACCCATGATGCTTTAAAATAATTAGCTTGAAGTTTGTAGGACAATTCATGTAGGGTGAATTTGGGCAGCAAATCTGCAAGAGTTAGCTTTCGATTTTAATTGGAGCAGAATTTTCCTCCCTTTCACCCAAACCCGTGCTGGAAGCAGCATTTTTCCTCGCGGTTTCCATCTGTAAGGCAGGTTTATTTCTGAAAGGCCCTTACAATGAGAATAGTCCTGTGGCATCCCGGCTTTATTAGGGTCTCTTATAAGTATGCCACCTTGGGTGGGCAGGTGTCTTTGCTTTTCTGTCCCTGTATCCCCATGCCTCTGTCAAAACCGAACCTTCAAGTTGCTGGGGCTTGGCCCTGCTGCCAGGGTGAGAGCCAGCTTGGCTGCTTGCTGACATCTCTGCATTCCTTTTTTCACTTTATGTTTGGCTTCTCTGGATTTCTTACTTTATTGCCAGCTCAGTGATGCACTTTCAGTGATTTTTCAAAAGCTTATCCAGCATTTCGAGTTATTTCAGAAGGCAGGTTGTCCAGAGTAGCTTATCCACAATGTTTCCAGAAATGGAAGACCTCAGTAGTTTCTATTCTAGTGAGAGGTGACAGCGTGCTGGCAGTCCTCACAGCCCTCGCTCGCTCTCGGCGCCTCCTCTGCCTGGGCTCCCACTTTGGTAGCACCTGAGAAGCTCTTCAGCCCACCACCGCACTGTGGGAGCCCCTTTCTGGGCAGGCCAAGGCCGGAGCCGGCTCCCTCAGCTTGCAGGGAGGTGTGAAGGGAAAGGCGCGAGCGGGAACGGGGGCTGCGCGCGGCGATTGCGGGCCCGCTGGAGTTCCGGGTGGGCGTGGGCTTGGCGGGCCCCGCACTCTGAGGAGCCAGCCGGCAACCCGGGCCAGCGGCTGCGGAGGGTGTACTGGGTCCCCCAGCAGTGCCGGCCCACCGGCGCTGCGCTCGGTTTCTCACCGCTTAGATTTCTCACCGGGCCTTAGCTGCCCTCCGGCGGGGCAGGGCTCGGGACCTGCAGGTCGCCATGCCTGAGCCTCCCACCCGCTCCGTGGGCTCCTGTGCGGCCCGAGCCTCCCCCACGAGCGCCATCCCCTACTCCACAGCGCCCAGTCCAATCGACCACCCAAGGGCTGAGGAGTGTAAGTGCATGGCGCGGGAGTGGCAGGCAGCTCCACCTGCAGCCCCTGTGCGGCATCTACTGGGTGAAACCAGCTGGGCTCCTGAGTCTGGTGGGAACGTGGAGAACCTTTATGTTTAGCTCAGGGATTGTAAATACACCAATAGGCACTCTGTATCTAGCTCAAGGTTTGTAAACACACCAATCAGCACCCTGTGTCTAGCTCAGGGTTTGTGAATGCACCAATCGACACTCTGTATCTAGCTACTCTGGTGGGGACTTGGAGAACCTTTGTGTCCACACTCTGTATCTAGCTAATCTGGTGGGGACGTGGAGAACCTCTGTGTCTAGCTCAGGGATTGTAAACGCACCAATCAGCGCCCTGTCAAAACAGACCACTGGGCTCTACCAATCAGCAGGATGTGGGTGGGGCCCGATAAGAGAATAAAAGCAGGCTGCCTGAGCCAGCAGTGGCAACGCAGTTCGGTCTCCTTGTGCAGTGTGGAGGTGGCAACACACTTGGGTCCCTCTGTGCACTGTGGGGGTTGCAATGCACTTGGGTCACTCTGTGCATTGTGGGGGTTTTATTCTTTTGCTGTTTGTAGTGAATTCTGCTGCTGTTAACTGTTTGGGTTCACACTGTCTTTATAAACTGTGTAACATTCATTGCAAAGGTCTGCGGCTTCACTCCTGAAGCAAGTAAGACCACGAACCCACCGGGAAGAACAAACAACTCCAGACGCTCCGTCTTAAGAACCGTAACCCTCACTGCGAGGGTCTGCAACTTCGTTCTTGAAGTCAGTGAAATCAAGAACCCACCAATTCTAGACACTAGGAAATTCTTTGTGGGCTTTCAAGGCTCAGGAAGGGAATTTGCACAATGAAAATAACTTAAGAACTGTGAAACTTAACCAGTTTTTTAAACTTATACCCTGTTACCATTATTTATTTGAAGTGTTGTTTTAAAGAAAACAAAAAATTTGTGAAGTTCTTTGCTTTCTAGGGAATGTTGGTCAAATTTCTGCAAAAACAGCAGAAATGTCTCTGAGCTAGAGGACCAACTGAAAGCAGAAGCGATAATCCTGTCTTCATGCTGATTTAGATGTTGACAGAAAGCTGAGTGTGAAATTCTGCAGCACATCACGAAGATGAAAAATCATTTAAGTTTGCTGAACCCTAATAATGAAAACTTGGAAAACCACCCAATAGAGGACAGTGATACTACTCACCAAAAATAATTGCTCCAATTTTATCAAGCTGCTGTCATGCCAATTTATATATTTTTAATTCCCTTAGTTTCTTAGGCCCAAACATGACAATTTAAAGACTTTCCATCTCAATTGTACAGACAACCATAGAGAGGTCTGTGATTGTATATGAAATGGTTCATGATTTTACATCACGAGATTAGAACTATATGTTCTTCAAATAGGATGAAACGTGTTCTAGACCTATTATGTAACATGCTACAGTTATATGCATAAAATAAATGAATCATTCTACTTCAAAGCTTTCTCTTTCTGACTAATGTTACTATGGAAGTTTTTCAACGACAGAAGTTTTGACAAGAGTTGTTACTGCAGGTTTAATTTTCTTTCATAGTTTTAAAAATCATTATTTATAGAAAATAAAGAGATAAATTTACCTTATTTAACCTGATTTGACAAACACTAACTGGACTGGCCTTTGTAAAATGGACAATAGGGCCAGAGGTGGTGGCTGACACCTGTAATCCCAGCAATTTGGGAGGCCGAGGTGGGAGGATTCCTTAAGTTCAGGAGTTTGATACCACCCTGGGCAACATGGTGAAACCTCATCTCCACAAACAATGCAAAAAATTAGCCAGACATAGTGGCATATGCCTGCAGTCCCAGCACTTGGAAGGCTGAGGTGGGAGGATGGCTTGAGCTTAGGAGGCAGAGATTGCAGTAAGCTAAGATGGCACCACTGCACTCCAGCCTGGGTGACACAGTGAGACTCTGTCTCAAAAAATAAAATAAATAAAATAAAATAAAATATAAAAATAAAATGGACAAGAGGCAGCCACAAAGAAGGCAGGGCATAACTAGTTAAAAATAACAAGCCCAGCCCCAAGGTGCTCACCTAACAAGGCTGAACTTAGCCCAGATACACCTTGACCCTGGCACAGCCCTGTTCTCTTTGCCTTCTCTTGGTATCAGTGGTGGCATGTTCTGTGTTGGCTCATCCTCTGCTTTGTGCCTCTGGCAGTGGTTCCCCATCATGAAGCCTTGACACCTAGCATCCAAGGTGTTCCTTCCCTGCACCCACCTTTCTCAGGGAAACAGTTGACATGGACTATGAAAATAGAAGGAAAACATTCTATCTAGCTGACCTGTAAAATTGTCTAATTTCCTTTAATGTTCTGGATTTCTAAACATTCTTATCTGATTTTATGATAAGATTCAATCCACCAAATACTCTGTGAAAGATTTTTCAACCGGTAAGAATGAAGGGCAAGTTCCATTTTGACTTTGTAAGGAATAGGCAAAAGCAATTTCTAATGTAAGTTTCCCTTTTGCGAAAGAAATGAGTCTTACTGAAGTCCTGTGCCCTGTTGCTCATATTTCTTCTTCATGTTTTGTGTGTGTATGTGTGTGTGTGTGTGTGTGTGTGTGTGTGTGTGTGGTAAAATACACATATCATAAAATGTGCCATTTTAACCATTTTCAAGTGTACAGTTCACTGGCATTATTTCAAAATTGTTCTGCAAGGCCGGGCACGGTGGCTCACACCTGTAATCCCAGCACTTTGGGAGGCTGAGGTGGGTGGATCACCTGAGGTCAGGAGTTCGAGACCAGCCTGGCCAATATGACGAAACCCCATCTCCACTAAAAATACAAAGAATTAGCCAGGCATGGTGGCAGGTGCCTGTAATCCCAGCTACTCAGGATGCTGAGGCAGGAGAATCGCTTGCACCTGGGAGGCGGAGGGTGCAGTGAGCTGAGATTGCACCACTGCACTCCAGCCTGGCTGACAGAGCAAGACTCAAAAAAAAAAAAAAAATTGTTCTGAAAGCATCACCACAATCCACCTCTAAATTACTCTTCATTATCTCAAACTCTGTACCTTTTAAACAAGGACTCCCATTTCCCCCCACCAACACCTCCTGGAAACCACTACTTTCTGTCCCTATGAATTTGATTATTCTAGGTATCTCATATGAGCAGAATCATACAGTATTTGCCCTTTTGTGACTGGCTTATTTCACAGAGCATAATGTCCTCAAGGTACATACTTGTTGTAGCATGCATCACACTTCCATTCCTTTTTGTAGCTGAATATATTATTCCATTGTGTGGATGTACCGTATTTTTGTTTATCTAGTCATCAGTTGAACACAGTTCATTGTTTCTATCTTTTGGCTTTGGTGTGTAATGGTGCTATGACCATGAGTATACAACTATCTATTGGGATGCTGCCTTCAATGCTTTTGAGTTTATACCTAGAAGTGGAATTTAATTTTTGAGGAACTGCCATCCTCTTTTCCACAGTGGCTGCTCCATTTTTCATTCCTACCAGCAATGAAAAAGGGCTCCAATTTCAGCCAGGCGCGGTGGTTCATGCCTGTAATCCCAGCACTTTGGGAGGCTGAGGTGGGTGGATCACGAGGTCAGGAGATCGAGACCAACCTGGCTAACCCGGTGAAGCCCCATCTCTACTAAAAATACAAAAAATTAGCCAGGTGTGGTGGCAGGCGCCTGTAGTCCCAGCTACTGGGGAGGCTGAGGCAGAAGAATGGTGTGAACCCGGGAGACGGAGCTTGCAGTCAGCCGAGATCGCACCACTGCACTCCAACCTGGGTGACAGAGCAAGACTCTGTCTCAAAAAAAAAAAAAAAAAAAAAAAAAAGGCTCCAGTTTCTCTACATCCTCACCAATTATTATCATCTTTTTTTTTATAGTCATCATCCTATGGGTATGAAATGGTATCTCACTGTGGTTTTCATTTGCAGTTCTCTGATGATTAGTGATATTGTCGCTCTCTATGTTTTCGGACTTGATGTGTTCTTATGTGTGTGTTTGTTATGGGAGAGACTATCTTGCTAGGGATGCCTTTGACTTGGGGAACAGGTAAAGCTCAACACTCTCCCATTTCTTTTCAGAAGGATTTAATGCACCTCAATTATCCTTGAACAGATTCGAGGAAGTGGCTAAGCTTGTGGCTACATCATCCACTTCCTTTCATTCCCAAAGAAAATGAAGTGCCAGCCATTTCCTTCCCTTTGTTCTTTCCCTTTGAGCACTGCCCTTAGGGTAGTCGTCCCCTAGGTTCAGCCAGCATGAAAGACGTTTGAGAAGGGCTGAGGACAGGTGGGCAATTAACCCCAGTGCTCAGCTCAAACAAACCCTGTGGCTGAGCATGGTGAATGAGGGTATTACTGCAGAGGGAAGGCACCTAATGTGTCACAGACAGTATCACGCAGGAGACCAAATGGCACAGCGGATTTATGACAAGAACAACTGCCTGCATGTGGACTGTGCTTAGGAAAGCAGATGAGTACGGCACAACGCTGGAGCTGGAGAAATCATTTGTTAGTGAAAAATGTGCAAACTGGTTAAAAATAGTTTCCATGACCAGGGAACTAGAATTCAGGTGGGAGCCTGACAGCTGCCACATGTCAGCCTTTTAGAGGCTGTTTTCAAAGACGTGTTGGAAAACAGAGACTCCATTCTCACGGCAAGTTAGCTTGAGAAGAAATTACTAGACAGAATCATTGTTTGTATTAACTTGAGGATGACTCTCACTAAGCAATCTGATGCTCTTTCCTATGGGCCTTAGCCAGACCTAGAATCTGCCTAAAAGGATACAAAGTTCACTAATTTAAAATAAAGAAGTGTGATCTAAATTACTCAATACCGTATTTAAAATAAGTGAAGTTTTAGCCAGTAATATACGCCGACGCAATTTTCCAATTTTTACCGTAATTAATACATTAAATGTGAGTGGCGCTGCTAAGGAGTGTTTTGCTTTCTTGGTAAGTTAAATAACCCATCTAAATCCTTATTCATATTTAATTTGCTAAGCAATCTGTTTCCTCATAGATGGTACAAAGGTAAAGTTTAGCTCAGTTCTTGTGTGCATTAGTGGGATTTAAACTATTAAGATTTTACTGCAGAGACGGAACCACTATGCCAGGTTGAAATTTCTATTGTGAACATCTAATTATCCCATACATCAGTTGCAGGAATATTGTCTTTGGAATGTCAAATTATACTCACTTCATGGTTTCTTTTACTTTTGTTCAGTAAAAGATTTAAAATTGACTCCATCATATTTAGGTTTTGGACTTATATTTTAAACACTCTATAAGTCGACAATTTGTCTGTGGCTCATCTTCTTTACATCAAAGTAGGAGGTTTCCCTAACAGCACACACAAGCCTCAAATGGTATGAATAGGAATTCAACATTTTTATGTGGCTTTTTTCCTCCCTCTCTTCCTCTTCCTTCCCTCCCTCCCTTCCTCTCCTCCCCTCCCTCCCTCCTTCCTTCTTTCCTTCCTTCCTTCCTTTCTTCCTTCCTTCCTTCTTTCATTCCCCTCCTCCTCCTCCTCCTCCTAGCCCTCCTTGCCTTCCTCCTCCTCTTCTGGTTGACTTGGTAATTTGGCACTCTCTCATAACAGCAGATCTTGTTTAGGATCTATTCTATAAAGGAGGTTGCTTCGTTATTCTTTTCAGCCCAGATACCAGTATTATGGTGGTAATTGCCAATTGGTCATCTACTTAATTATACCTTAAGCAGAGCAGATCCCATATTCCGGAATGACATATTAATAGAATATTCTAAACTGTTTACTATGCAAAACCTACCATCAATAGCACACAGGATGGATACAGAGTGGCTCTGGTGCTTTCTAACAATTCCTCCCCATGACAAAGCTGTGCCAGGTGTGGCTGAGAGGAGCACCATGGTCCTGGCTTGGTCTTGGTCTTCTCTCTTTGTTAATGCCTACTTGGCCTTTGATCTTTCATGATCCATGCTGGCCCAGTTGTTCACATCCTGGACTTGTCAGTTCAGAAGAAAGTGTTCTCTTGGTTATTTTAAATACTTGTGTGAATGGTGGCTCATGCCTGTAATCCCAGCACTTTGGGGGGCTGAGGCGGGTGGATTATGAGGTCAGGAGTTCAAGACTAGCCTGGTCAACACGGTGAAACCCCATCTCTACTAAAAATACAGAAATTAGCTGGGCTTGGTGGTGGGTGCCTGTAATCCCAGCTACTTGGGAGGCTGAGGCAAGAGAATCGCTTGAAACTGGAAGGTGAAGGTTGCAGTGAGCCGAGATCGCCCCACTGCACTCCAGCCTGGGTGAAAGGGCGAAACTCCGTCTCAAAAAAAATAAAAAATAAAAATAACGAATGTTCTGTGTCTGTTTTTATTCCTCAAAACTACACGTTAATAAAATGAACTATTTCCCTAATTGGGTGTTATAAATGTATGCAAATGCTGAGTTGCAACCTCCAACTCTATAAAATGGTTTAGCAATGACTAATTACAATGTATTTCCTCTGTGCTGTGGAGAGGGATTGCTGGTGGATGGACTTATCTGGCCTTTACTTTTAGTGGAGGCATTGCCCTCCATTACTGAGGAAACTTCTTCTAGAATACTTTTCTCCTAGATGAGTTCTCTGACCTCCTTTAAGTCTTTTCACTGAAGCTCCTCATTTGATGCTGCAAACTGTCCTCCCCAATTCCCTTACCCTGTTTATCCTGCCTTGTTTTTTCTTTACCCATAGCATTTACCTCTTACTCACCTCCAATTACATTTATTTATATTCATTGGGCTTATTGTGAAGGTCCTCTCCCAGGCCTGCAAAACATAAACTCTGTAAGGGTGGAAATCTTGGTCTATTTTATTCACAGACTTATCCCAAGTGTCTAGGACAGTGCCTGGCATACAGCAGGTGCTCAATAAATATTTTGCTGAATAAATTTAATATACAAAATATAGCAAATCATAATTGCTGTTATTTATTGTGTACCTCCTATGTTTCAGGTGCTGTACTCACTATTTTTTTAAACACATTATCATGTTTGATTCTTCCAACAACCTTGTGATGTTGGTACAATTATCATTATCATTACTTTACATGTGGTAAAACTGAGGTTTAGAGAGGTGAAATCATTTGTGAAAATTGCTCAGCTATTAGAAATTAGACCAGAGATTTGGGCTAGACATGCCGACTCCATGCCTGACTTCTTAGTCACTCTCCTATAATGGCCTATAATAGCAGCTACATAATGTGTGGGCCAAATGACAAAGGAAAACGCAGGTTTCCTTGTCAAAAAACTCTTCAAGTTTCAAGATGGTGGCAACAGAGCATTAAACAAAGTGCAGGGCCCTGTGTAACTGCACAGGATGTATTCATGAAGCCAGTACTGAGCTAGTCAATGTACATCCCCAGCCATAGCAATTGAGGGGCAGATGCTGCAATTTCTTTCATCCTCATTTCAGGATGGCTGGCATCCACTCTAGTTTTGAGTTAGAAAGAAAAGCTGAGATTAGTTCACTGGACTCATTTGACAGAGAAACAAGTCTTAGTGAGGTGCTACTTATAAAGGGAAACATTTTCTTTATGCTACCGTAAAGCTTAAGCATATCCAAGAGGCAGTCCCCTTGGTATTGAAAGGGACCATAACAACTAGAAGTAGACATTTTTTACTATAATCAACAGAACAGGAGTCATCAGTGGTACTTAAAATACAGATACTTCACTTTGGGAGCCCAAGGTGGGCGGATCACGAGGTCAAGACATCGAGACCATCCTGGCCAACATGGTGAAACCCTGTCTCTACTAAAAATACAAAAATTAGCTGGGCGTGGTGGTGCACACCTGTAGTCCCAGCTACTCGGGAGACTGAAGCAGGAGAATCGCTTGAACCCGGGAGGTGGAGGTTGCAGTGAGCCAAGATCGTGCCACTGCACTCCAGCCTGGGTGACAGAGCGAGACTCGGTCTGAAAAAAAAAAAAAAAATACAGATACCTGTCAGGGTCTTAAAGCAAAGAGAATTCCAGGTTTTCCTCGTGATGTTACCTTCATTTGCCTTCATATGCACTTTCTTAAAAATGGGTGATGTGCATCACACTTAAATATATCATTTATCTAGTGTGTTTGGTAGAAAAAAACTTGAGCCCACAGCTTCAGATAATTGTCTCAGGTTGAAATATCCTTCCCTACATTCCTCCCTACCTACATTTCTCTTAGATTTCAGGGTCTGATTGAAATTATGGCTCCTCTGTCTGACCTGTTTGAATTTAACCTAAATCAACACACATTTGTTAAGTAACACTTTGTTCACTGTATAATAGAAAGGTGTAAAACACATCTTCTCATATAGATGACACCCTGCACCACCCCTCGCATTTGACAACTGCTCAGGAAACATTCTTGATTAATTCATTGCTTACCCAATGTCACCTCCTTTTTTACAAAGAGAAGGTAAATTCATTCACGATGATGATGAACTCAGTTAGAAATGCTTACTCCCTTGGACCCTCTTATGGGTAGGAGTAGCCATGTGACCCGGATTGGTGACAAAATTGAAGTCTATAGGGAGGGGCTTCTGGGACTCTATTGTTTATGTCATGAAAAGAGACAGGCTCAGCTACACACTCCCTTTTCTTCTTCTCTTCCCCCTTCTTCCTACACCATTTCTGTACCTGTGTTGCAGGACTTTTCCTCAGCTCAGCTAAAGATGGGATCCTTGTCTGTCCCACGGCCATGAAAATTTAGGTTCACAGACAGTTTGAAGGGTGAGTAAAACAGGGTTTTATTGGATAAAAAGGAAGAAAAGAGGGAAACAGGGACTCTCCACAAGGCCAGAGTCTCCTGCTAGATGTCGTTTGAATCCCAGGTTCCACACAGGAAGAGGAGGGGCCAGGCTCCTCCCTGCTGCAAATGTTGTGAACTTCCTGTGGCTCCACCTCAGTGGGCAGGCTGGTTGGAGTTTCTCCAAGGACCCCCTCCCACCTGGCTGTCTCACCTGCAGTACCCAGCCTGCAACCACGAAGACAAAAACCACAGTCAGGACAGCAGAGCAGGAAACTAGAAGGACCCTGGTTGAAGGACACTCCATGGCTTCCTCAAGTCTCTGCCCTGCTCTGCGAACATGTGGACTTTTTATTCAGCTAGAAAAACTAAAGCCCCATTTGGTGAAGCCTCTGCAGTTGGCTTTTTGTTACATGTAGCCCAAAGTGATCCTAACTGGTACATCGTGGACACCATAGAAAGCCCTATCAGAGGGGAATCTAGAGCCAACGGAACCTAAGGAGAGAAAAGGAGGCGGAGAAGACGAGAAATTGGCTGTGTCACAGAGGCAACTGCACGGCAAAACATCTCTGTACATAAATCGCTGGGCAGAGCCGCCTCTCCTGTCCCTTCTCATTTTTTGTTTACTTACGAGCAGCTGAGCAGCCCAAGCTTTCCCCTACACCGACAGGCACGTCCAAGCCTCTTCCCCCTTCCCTCGGGGGCCTGGAGCACCTGCTTGAAGAGTCAGCCTCCCTTTGAGAATAGTTTAACATATGAATTTGAAACTAGTTGAAGAAGAAACTCAATCCCTGAATCATTAGCCTAAGTATCTGGCATGACAGAATGGGTCTGTTCTAGCAGTGAGAAATGACCTTGACTGTCCTTGGATGGTAAGGGCAGAAAATTGAAAATAAAACTCTTTTGATTTTTAAAAATATAATAAAGTCCTCAAAATAGCTATATCCTTTAAGTCTCTTGATTTATTGAATAATAAAATAAATAGGAAGTACAAGGACTTTACTTTCATAAAAAAAATCTATTCTTCTAAGTATGTAGACCCATATAGCAAACTGGAGCTTGCTTTACTCATTAATTCTATGGTGTGTATGAGTGTTTCCAGGTATTTGCTTTCTTCTCAGGTCATTTAAGATTATTGATTCTTCCTTCTCTAGTGTAGAGCTCAATTCTCCAAAGACTGGTTAGCAAAACATTTTCCAGCTCACGTTGCCATTTAAAAATGATTATGCTCAGTGTCTTCAGCTTAAAGTTTCCCTTCTTGGCTTCCATATGCTAACAGTTTGTACACTTCTCTTTTTTGCTTTCTTTTTTAGGGCGGATTCTACAGTCTTCAGCCCTTTTGCTAACATTCCCTGACTGCTTTCTCCTGGTGGCTCAAACAGCAACAGAGACAACGGCTAAACCAGATAAGCTACAGAGATTTGTTTTTTTCCGTAACCAAAAGTTTCTGGGGACATAAGATCATTGCAAGTAGTCATGTGTAGTCTTTTGGCTCAAATGTAAAATGCTAAGTTACGCATTAGTTGTTGCATAAATTTGCATATTGATATATACAATCCCAACGACTTTAATAGCATCACAGATTAGCAGAGACAGATGCACACAGACACACACAGCCTGACATTCAGAGACTCCCAGGCAGAGACAAACAGCCCAAGGAAAAAGTGGGGATGGCTCACCAGGAGCAAGGACGATTGGAAGGAACACAGGTTTTTAAGGGAAAGATGGAGGGCCTGGGTGGGCAGAGGGTTCTCCCCAGCTCTTGCTTTATGTAACCTTCTGGTCCTAGGCCCCCACTCCCATGCCCTGTCCTTGGAACTTTCCACTTGATCCTGAGCAGAGGGCAGGAGGGATGATTTACGTCGGTCTGGCATGAATCAGAAGATCCTGAAGTACTAGAGTCCCAGAGGAGCATTTAGGCTTGTTTTAAGAAAAGGAGAGGAAGATTCTTAAAGGATGATATTTCTGCTTGTTTGTTTTTTGTTTTGGTCTTTCACTCTTCTATGGCATCCAAATATAGAACTAAGGTCTTGGCTGTCTGCACACCTAGAAGCCTTTGGCACTCTGCCAGCAAGGATCAGGCCCTGAAAGAAGATTCCACACTGGTCTGATTTGCAAACCAAAGCCCCAATTGATTAATTTACTGAGGAAAATAAGCACTTCAGGGTGCCACCACCAGAGAGTCTACGCCCTTCTAGGAACACAGGTGCCTGGGAAAAGTCATTCATAATCAGGACAAACAGCAAGGGATTCTTTAAGGAATATCTTCTATCTGCTTTGAGAGGCTACGTGACACTACCGCCACAATAATTATATATTATACATGCCAAGTAGGCGCAGCTCAGTGCTGGAAACATATTCTTGAATTCTTAGTCTTGGCCTCTCGTGTCTTAAGACTTTATTCCCACCATCTTTTGTTTTTGTGTTTACATTGGATATTGAAACATCAACATTTTTAATATCAAAGAACATCTTTCACTCAATAAACACGTATTGAGTTCTCAATCTAGGCTGAATTCTACAACAGCACTTAGGGACTGCAGTGGAGACAAAGATGGATAAGACACAGGGCCAGGACCTAGAAAACTCACAATGGTGAGGGGAAGATTACACAAATACACGTGGCTGTACCACAGAGGGAAAATTACTTTATATAAATATCCAGAATGTGCTGTAGGGATTCAAAGGATGAGAAATGGAATCTGTTTGACGAGATGGAAGGAGGCTGATTCATAGAGGCAGCATTTAAGCTCAGACATAAAGAATAGCTATAATTGTAGTGAGCAGAAATGTTCAGGTGAGTCAGTAGCAAGGAAGTGAAGGAGAGGGAAGAGAGGAGGAGGGAGAGGGAGGTAGCCCGTGTGGAAGAAGGGGATGGTGTGTAGGCACACCCGATGTTCTGTTCAAATGCATGCCTCATGCTTGGGCTGGAGGTACAGAGGATGTTCAGGAGAATCGTGGGAGTCAGAACCTGTTGGGCCTACGGTGGACAGCCTTGATGCCAGGAGCTTCATTCTAGGGACACTGGGCACTCACAGGGTTTTGCCCAAGAGAAGGCTGTGATCTGAACTCCAGTTCTAGAATATTAATTTAGTCTCAGTATACAGAACGGACTGGAGAGAGGAAAAATAGAGAGTGAGGAGGCCACTGTGGAAGGTGCTATAGGAATTCAAATCAGAAATAATGAGTATCTGCCTGAACCAGGACAGCACAGTAGGAATTAAAAAAAAAAACAGTGGGCCGGGCGCAGTGGCTCATGCCTGTAATCCCAGCACTTTGGGAGCCCGAGGTGGGCGGATCACCTGAGGTTGGAGTTCGAGACCAGCCTGACCAACATGGAGAAACCCCATCTCTACTAAAAACACAAAATTAGCCGGGCGTGGTGGCGCATGTGTGTAATCCCAGCTACTTGGGAGGCTGAGGCAGGAGAATCATTTGAACCTGGGAGGTGGAGGTTGCGGCGAGCCGAGATTGCGCCATTGCACTGCAGCCTGGGCAACAAGAGCGAAACTCCATGTCAAAACAAAAACAAAAACAAAAAACAACAGTGGAGGTGATATAAGAGATAGAGATAGAATCAGTAAGTCTTGGCAATGAGCTGGATGCAGGAGGTACAAGAATGAGTCAAAGACGACTAATAGAAGCTAAGATTTACTGAGGCTGTGCTAAGCACTCTTGAATTAATGCATGTAATATTCTTGAATTAAGCGCTTACATGCATTAATTCATTTGATTCTTCTAATGACTCCATGAAGTAGATACTATTTGTGTCCCCATTTTATAGATGAGCAAACTGAGGCACAGAGATTACATAATTTTTCGGGTTGGCATAGCTAACAGGAGTCAGAATTTCAACCCAGGTCTTTCTCGAGTCATCTGTCATACTGAGTTCCCCACGACTGTGTTCATTCCTACTCCAAGCCTTGCATCATGAAGTTCCTTGGCTGGAATGGATCTTGTCTCTGAATTTATGCTTTCTGGTCTTGACTCACAGAAGCAAAGTGAAAGTAACCATGGTCCTGAAGACAAATCTAAGCACTCAATCGATGTGGGTAGTGTTTTGGAACAAATAGCAGAAAACTCTACCATTTTATTCATAAGGGCAATTTTTAAAAAATTCTATAATGGCAGTTGGTATCATGATTAAGGTTTTCATTTTATTTATTACTTTGTTATGGTAAAACAAAACAAAACAAATCCTGCCTGAATCATCTTCCATGTGTCAGTAGAAAGGCTTTTTCCTATCAGTACCCTCGGTGCTTTGTAAATCTTTTCATAATCAACCTTGTCTTAACTCAATGGCATTGTTCCCTTGGGCTCTGGACTGGGTCTGAGCTGATCTAGGATGATCCAGGATGATTAGAGACCATCTTCATTCCTCCAGCACTGGCCCACGGACTCTCACCAGCTCTAGCCAGTTCTCAGGGTTAGACTCTTGATTTGCCTTTTGTCTTTCTGCTTTCTTTTTCATATGGAAACTACAGCACTAAACATTCTTTGTTAGAATTCAGGTGTTATGAGGAAAATCATAGTGTCGCTTTCTTAAACACATGGTATGCCAGCAGCTTTCAGAGCGACAAAATGCAGCTTTATTGAGTAATTACAGTCTGTCCTCTGCAAGTAAGGAACTCATCTCACCAAAAAACAAAATGCTGGCATTTTCTTTAAACTAAGGAGCTTTTTATGGCTTGCTGGCAACCTATTTCACTGCCCTAATAATTGGAATAGTCACTGCAGTAACAGTCAACTGCTCCCATATTATGAACAAGAGCAGAACAAGCAGGATCAGCTGAAAGAAATCATATGAGTGAATGCCTGTGCGTGCATGTGTGTATGCCTGTGAATATGTCCCAGAAACTGTGTGTGCATGTGTGCATATTGCGTATGTGTGTGTGTGTGCATGTATGCTTGTTTTTAAATTTAAGCCCCAAATAATTCAGTAGTGAAAAATGCCCCACACTGACTGGGCTCACACCTGTAATCCCGGCACTTTGGGAGGCCGAGGCAGGCGGATCACCTGAGGTCAGGAGTTCGAGACCAGCCTGGCCAACATGGAGAAACCCTGTCTGTAATAAAAATACAAACATTAGCTGGACGTGTTGGCATGCGCCTGTAATCCCAGCTACCCGGGAGGCTGAGACAGGAGAGTCTCTTGAACCCAGGAGGTGGTGGTTTCAGTGAGCTGTGATCATGCCACTGCACTCCAGCCTGGGCGACAGAGCAAGGCTCTGTCTCAAAAATAAAAATAAAAAAAGAAAAAAGAAAAATGGCCCACACTACAGAGTAGTAAATTATGAGGTGGCTTTCTTGCTGTGGAACAATGGGCCTCATGATTTTACACCAGACCAATTTTTTTTTTTTTTTGGCAAGAGGAAGTCTTTGTTTAATAAATAACTGTGTATGTAGGGGGTACTACCATCCAGAACACCCTGAAAGGCCACCAGCTTACCTGCACAGAATGTCTCAGAACAGGAAAGGAATGGGGACATCTTGGCCACCTACCACCTCTGACAGGGCACCATTGTCCCATTCTACTTGGTCCCTCATGTTCCCGATGGTCCCTAAAAATGGGTCAGGCTGTGTATCTTTCTTTCTCTTGGAAGCTGAATTATACCAGATTAACATTGAAAAGACCTCTGTTCTTCTAAGTTGGTTTTCTTTTCCTTTTCCCTCATACGACTTTAAATTAGAGTTTCTATGAGTTACCACTTCAAATTGCTTTTCATAAGAAACCAGTCCGAAAGCACGAATTCTTCAAGCACAATAAGAGTTGCATTGGAAGTTTGCTTTCATCCTAATCATCTTGCTTCTTTTTTGTCTAGAGGGTAGGATCAACCTTGGATAGCTCTTACTATCGTTTTCATTCATTTAGCATAGAAATAAAATGTTGATAAGTACCTTTTGAGAGGGAGACATCTTGGAATTAGTTACTTAGTACCATTACGAAGCAGTCTATATGGCTTCTTAATAGATTGATCTTGTCTTTTAGGTCCTGGTATATTTCTCTTCTAGAGCCAGCGGTTTTTAAACTTCATCTTGCATCAGAATCACCTGGGAAACTTTACAAAAACTTGTAATGTCCAGTGATTCAAATTAAATGGGGTAAGGTGGAGCCAGTATTTCTGTACTGTTTAAAAGCTCCTAGGATGATTCCGATGAATCAGAGGAAGACTACAAATCACCATTCCAGACCCTAAACCATTGGCTTTAAAATCACTTTAGATCACCTGCAGCACTTTTTAAAAGTACTATGCTGAGGCCCTACTTAAGACCAAATATATCAGAATATCTGGGAGCAAAGCCAACACATTGAATATTTATTGGAAGTTCTTCAGGTGATTGTAACATACAGCCAAAGCCAAAAATCACTGATCAGTCTAGATTTATGAGTTTATGCCAAACTGCACAACATGGATTTTACTGAAACATCAGTGGCACAAAAGTGGTATAAAAGGTTCCATTACACACCACACAGCAAAGCTTCTTAAATATTCCTTTTTTAACATCTCTGCTTTTTCCAAAGTTCCTTTTACTAAAGATTTATATCTATTCTGTCTCTTTCCCAGAACTCCTTTTTATTTCAGTGTCATCTCAAGCCACGTTTCCCCATAGTGGGGCCCTTTTCCCCATACTGCTTCTCAAATCAAACTCAGCAAAATATTGTTCATTCCTCACTCATACATCAAGAGCCTCAAGGTATCCTTTCAAAATTAGGGATAAATTATTGACGCATTAAGTTTTGGAGATATATAAGACTAGAAGGAAGATGGAATCTCTAGACCAAAACAGAGATAACTTTCAGACAGAGCTAAGAATACCTTGTGACGGAAGAGAATCTCTCATCTATGAAAATTGACAGATTACACAAGGGTGGATTGGCTGTCTAAAAGATGCTCCTTGCATCTGCTTTGTCCTCTCTATTTCCACGATAATCCCCACATCAGACCCTCTTAATCCTTCCATGGACAACTCTTAACAGCTTTCTAGCTAGATTCCCATTACCATACATTTTGGGGTCCTACTCCTATCATTGTGTTAGGCAAGTACAAATCCAAGAGGTTTTTCAGGTTTTATTAAACTTTAATAGAAGTTCCCAAACTTTTTGTGGTCATGGGTCCATTTGAGGGTTTGATAAGAAGTACAGATCCTTTTTTTTATTTTTTATTTTTCTGAGACAGCATCTCACTCCCATCACCCAGGCTGGAGTGCAGAGGCAGGATCAGGGCTCACTGCAGACTCAACTTTCCTGGCTCAGGTGATCCTCCTGTTTCATCCTCCCATCTCAGCCTCCTGAGTAGCTGGGACTACAGGTGTGTGTCACCACACCCAGCTAATTTTTTTTTTTTTTTTTTTTTGAGACAGAGTCTCACTCTGTCACCCAGACTGGAGTGCAGTGGCGCAATCTCTGCTCACTGCAAACTCTGCCTCCCAGGTTCATGCCATTCTCCTGCCTCAGCCTCCCGAATAGCTGGGATTACAGGCGCCCGCCACCATGCCTGGCTAATTTTTTATATTTTTAGTAGAGAAGGGGTTTCACCATGTTAGCCAGGATGGTCTCGATCTCCTGACTTCGTGATCCACTCACCTCGGCCTCCCAAAGTGCTGGGATTACAGGCGTGAGCCACTACACCCGGCCCACACCCAGCTAATTTTTTTACTATTTGTAGAGACAAGGTCTTGCTATGTTTCCCAGGCTGGTCTCAAACTCCTGGACTCAAGTTGTCTGCCCACCTTGGCCTCCCAAATTCCTGGGATTATAGATGTGAGCAACTGCACCCAGCCTCAGATCCTTTTTTTGAACACAGATTCATAAAATTTTGCATAAAATTACAGAGGCTTCTTGGAGCCTACTAACGTACATTGACAACCCTGTGGTCCATGGACTCCACACTGAGAGCCCCTGCAATAAAGCTTGGTTAGAGCAATTGATGTGTAATAAATTTTGACTGTGTTTAAATACGTGGATTAAAAAAAAATTCACAGAAAAGGAAGGTTAGGCAATATCATCACATTGAGAAACACCAATTGCCTGTACCTTTGACTTAATTTGTAAATGTCTACAAAGCTTGAATAAAATCAAGGTAGTTAAACAGTTGAGTTACTTGGGTTACCTTTTATTTGGATTGTAGAATTTTCCACTTACTTCTTGACAGTCATGTGAAGAATGATGATAGTGACATAAAATGATGATAGTGATATAAAATTTGATGTCAGTTTACAAAGCACGTTCACACACACATATATATTTTATGTTTCATTTAATTTACACAAGAAAAATGAGCATTAAAGAAATTAAATGACTTACTCAAGTTGACACAGTAAGGAAATGTTTGAGAGGGGCTAGAACCCTGGAATTCTGGCTCCTAGGCCAGGGCTAATTTTTCCCATCCAGTTGTTTATTCTCTTCTCACTTCCCAGTGTCTCAAGTTTGTAAACTCCCGATCCAGCCAGACTTTCACTGTTATAATTCAGGTATTCATTCATTCGTTCATTTATTCATTCCATTACCATTACCATTCATTCATTGAATCATTCAATAACCTTTAATGTGTCACTTGGGCAAGGCAGGCAGTGTGAATCAATTTAAGGAACTAGGTAATATGTAATAATAAATTGCCACAGGGTTTTAAGGCAGGCCTGCCTACATCCAGCAAAAAGGCTCAGGGAAATCTTTATGGAGGAGGTGACATTCTATCTTACATGCAAATAAGTGGAAAGATGTTAATAGATAAACCTAGGAAAGAAGGTAGCAGTGCAGACAATGAGGAAAATGTGAGAAAAGGCACAGCGGTGAGTATCACAGGGGAATGGGTCATGTCCTTTTTGACGGGTGTGGTCTTTAGGGAGTCCTGGGCAACAGGCCGGAGTGGAGGTAAGGCTGGCAGGCCACATGGGGGCCTGTGCTCTCACTTTGAGGGGTAATGGGGTCACAGAGGGCTAGAAACGGGGAGAAATGCCCCTGTGCTAAGCTTTGAGATATTTTGATGGTAGTGTAAAATATGAGTTAGGTAGGGAAGATCCTTTTTGGCAGTCTTAACCTTGTTCTGTATTCATTCAACATCTTGTCTGAGTTTACTTCTTAAGGCTAGACATTAAAAGTAAATATTTATCCAGAGTTTTAAAAACTGAGGTCTACGGTTCTTTGCAAAGTCCATTTACAGGGTTGAAGAGGTCAATAGCTCTCCTAAAATTATAATACTATGTTGTGTATGGATTTCTGTCTTTTTCTCAAATTGAGGAGAAGGGCCATAGCTTCCATCAGCTTCTCTAAAGGGTCTGTGATCCACAAAAGAATTGCTGCTTAAAGCTTAATGGAAGTAGGAGAACAATTTTGAAATTGCCCTATGTAAGGATGGCGCTATGGGTTAAGATGTGTGTAACAGTCATTGGAATAGGCTGTATTACTAATCCTACTAAATTTTTTTCTTTTTTTTTTTTGTCAGAGATCATGGAGTATTAAGATGAATGGATCTAGAAATATTGCTTCTCTAACAGAAGTTGAAACCAGGAATTCTATTACATAGTGTGCTGTTCAAGATCACCTGGATGGTTCTGGAACTAAGGAAAATCCTTACAGAAATACACAGACCATATCTTGTCTTGTATTGCCATCATTAAAAAAAACCCACAAAATTCACAGTTAAAAATTACTGATAGAGAACAGTAATAGTTGGTAATTAGTGTTATCGAGTTACTATTAGTTATATTGTTGGATTTTTTTAAAGCATCAAGCTATTAGTTTCTGTATCTGATTATAAAAACATAAGTTTCCAAAGTTTTTAAATCTCTTTAAAATTATTTCCATAACTCACATCAATAATTTTTTTTTCTGTAATTAGTTTGCTGTTAAAATAACCATTGGGTCATCAGCCTTTTCTATCTCTACTCATAACTACATTATTGTTGAATGACATTTAAAACTTTTTTTTCTTTAAAAATAAACATATCATGGCTGGGCACAGTGGCTTATGTCTGTAATCCCAGCACTTTGGGAGGCCGAGGCAGGAGGATCACTTGAGCCTCAGGAGTCAAGACCAGCCTGGGAAATATAATGAGACCTTGTCTCTATTAAAAAAAAAAATTAGCTAGGCATGTGCACCCGTAGCCCCAGCTACTCAGTGGGCTGAGGCCACAGGATCTCTTGAGTCCAGTAGTTTAAGGTTATAATGAGCTATAATTGCACCACTGCACTCCAGCCTGGGCAACAGAGTGAGAACCTGACTCATAAATAAATAAGTGAAAAATAAACATGCCCATCTAATCTCGTTCCAGCTGAAGCAAGGGCTGGGTTCTGCCATTGACCCACTCACTTAGGATGCATGTAAAGTTTCAGATTCTGAATTAAAAAATTGAAAACTTCAAAGCTACCATCAATAGAAATTGGAAGATGCTAACTGTGGCCAAGGATAAACAGAGTCTGTTTCCTTGTCTAAGAAGAGATTTCACAAGGAAGCAACCTAATCTTACCAAGGAGCTCCTGGGGAAACAGGCAGGGCCAGTGAATATTGTCATATAATCCATTAACTCAAACTCAATGAAAGATAGATTCTGGTTCCAAGTTTCTGGATATTTTGAGGTTAATAAGAAAAGGTGCTACAGCCTGGCCAACATGGTGAAGCTCCATCTCTACCAAAAAATACAAAAAAAATTAGCTGGGTGTGGTGGCATGCACCTGTAATCCCAGCTACTCAGGAGGCTGAGGCATGAGAATCTTTTGAACCCAGGAGGCGGAGGTTGCAGTGAGCCAAGATTGCGCCATTGCATTCCAGCCTGTATGTGAGTGAGACTTTGTCTCAAAAAAGAAAAAGAAAAAAGAAAAAAGAAAAGGTGCTCTCTCCCCCATACCCTTTTCCTTTCTTTCTCCAAACTGCCACCCCAAAACTGGCCTTTCTAGTAATAAACCTGCCCTGGCAAGACACCTAGCTGGAGGGAGGAGGTGTGCTGAGATCTGGCAACAACACAAAGCTAACTAACTCTCAGGAGGACTGAACCAGAGACACTGGCCTCACTAGCAATTTACTGTAATGACTCTGCTCAACTATTCTCACAGGAGGAAAAGATCAAAAAATATCATGGTGGTCAGATTGTGACTAATATCAAAGCAATTTCAAAAGACCCAACTTATGCCACAGGGAAAAAAAAATGTGAAAGGGCTGGTAACAGAATGTTTTTCTTGAAGGAGAAACATCTCTATATTTAAAAATCCATTGGTGGTTCATTCTAGTTGGTGAGGTTGATCTCTAGACATAGTTGGGATGTGCTTAGAGTGACATATAGGAAGAGTTCAACTGCTCTGCATAAGCAATGCCCAGGAAGTTGGGGGTTCTCAGTGAGTAAGTGTGGAGCAGAAGAAGAAAGCTAAGTAGAGGAGCCAGGGTCAGATGAAGGGAGGCTGGGCTTGAATAGACGAGGAGGTGAGGAGGGGATCATGATTGGAGGACTTTTGAGTCTGCTTAACATTCAGCTTTAAGCCATCAGTTCCATAGCAACCCGGCATACTGCTCTTACTTCCTATCCCCTAATTAGTCTTGAAGCTTCCATCAACGTTGACTACCAGATAACCTTTTTATGAATAATGTTTTGGAAAAATTATATGGACATGGAAATATTAATATGTTTATTCCTATATTTTCTCCTTTTCTTCATGGAAACTGGTAGCAGTCATTGCAATGACTGAACTCGGAGATTTGGGAAGTACTGAATGTTATGCGGTCAGTGGCTCTTCCTATCTTTGGGTGACATTCAGCCATTAGAAATAAGTAAGGGAGGGAAAGAGAAAGCAGAGGCCAGCAAAGGCGGAAAATAGGTAGGAGCTCACCATTATTGAGGACCTGGATTCAGCCTTATGGCAGAGTCTGAAGAGATGGCAGGACCACAATGGACATGTAGGAAAAGACAGTGGATTTGGGGGTGGGTGGATAAGAGCATGATGAATTTAAAGTGACAGGATTTCTCCAAATGTATCGAGCAGTTGAGATTTTAGGCCTCGAGCCCAGGAGAAAGATCTGGACTGGAGACTCACTTTGAGAATCATTACCATATTGTTCAGTGTTTCTCAAAGACCATCTGTGTACATTGCACCCACCCCCAAAACCCTGGCAGCCAACTCCTCTGGGAATGGGCCCCAGATCGTCATTTTAATCCTACTTTTCAGATGACTCTTAAGCACACTGGAGTCTGATCACTAAAACTAGATGCTAATTGATGCAATGGGAGAGGGTGATAGAGTTCTGAGAAAATATATAGTGAGAAGACGGCCAAAGGAAAAGACAAAGGAGAGATTACATAGGAAAATGAATGAAATTATTCATTGGATTGGCATTGAGGTTGATCATTGAAGATCTCAAGAAGGACATATTCAATAAGGTGAACACTGGAATGTGAAGTTTATGTGGTTTACATAGGTTTACATGTGTGTGTGTGTGTTTGTGTGTGAATTAGCCAGGCCATCTTACTAAGTTGAAACACCTGGCCTTCAGTCCTAGAGTTTCACTAGTTGGCCATGTGACCCTCATCCACAAGACATTCCATATCTGCCCCATCCTGACTCCGTACACCAACCTGGAGTAGTTGTGCAAGCCATCACTGGAGTCTCAGAAAAGCAGGCACTGGCTCTTAGATTTAGTCTCTGCCTTCTGGCCCTTCAAGGACAACGTGGTTTGTACCTTTGCCTTTTCTCTCTCACAGTCCTGTGGGACATGATTTTCTTCTCTACCTTTGACTTTGTGTCTTGCAATGATGATAAGAGTCACCTGGCCCTGGACTGCTGAGAGGTAGCATGGGGCCTCCTCTTATCTGACCCTGGATTAGAGGAGAGGAAGATCAGCCCCTTCCATCTGGGGATCTGTTCATCTGGAAAGTCATGGGTTGGACTAGGTCAGTGGATTCCAAATAGGTTACTATAGAGTTCAAGCATACTGCTGGAGGGTTTGGTTTCAAATGAAGCAGTTTTACTTGTTTGAGTTCATCTACATTTTCTTGTAAAAGTAACAGGGGTTTCTATTATTAAAATCAAGTATGAAAAGCCAGTGAACTTGTTGATGTCTAGAGCTTGGTTTTACTTCCAGAATTTTTTATCAAACTCACATTGAGGATTTTGGGAATACAATTTTTTTCTTCTAACCCTGAGTCTAGCTCTTATGATGTTTCCTTCTGCATACTGTATTAGATACACATTTTAGAGATTTTGAATGATGATAACACTAGTATTTTTAGACCTTAATTAGAACACATTTGATATGGCTTGGCTCTGTGTCCTCACCTGAATCTCATCTCAGATTGTAATCCCCATGTGCCTAGGGAGGGACCTTATGGGAGGTGATTGGATTATGGGGGTGGTTTCCCCCGTGATGTTCTTGTCATAGTGAGGGAGTGCTCATGAGATCTGATGGTTTAAAAGTGGCAGTTTCCCTTGTGCTTTCTCTCTCACCTGCTGCCCTGGAAGACGTGCCTTGCTTTCCCTTCATCTTCCACCATGATTGTAAGTTTTCTGAGGCCTCCCCAGCCATGTGGAACTGTGAGTCAATTGAACCTCCTTTCTTTATAAATTACCCAGTCTCAGGTAGCATCTTTATAGCAGCATGAGAATGGACTAATGCAACATTCATTAACTATTACATTTTCTTTTGTATAATATTTTATTAAAATAATGCTAACCTTTAACATGCAAGTAATTGCAAAAGTTTTGAAAAACAAGAGAAAGAAAAAACCTATATTGTTTATGGTCCTACAGCTTTTAACAGTTTGAAATGCTTCCTTACATTATATGTGTGTGTACACATGCACACAAGTTGAAAATAATGTACGTATATTAGTTCATTTTCATGCTGCCGATAAAGACATACCCGAAACTTGGTAATTTATAAAGGAAAAGAGGTTTAATGGACTCACAGTTCCACGTGGCTCTGGAGACCTCATGATCATGGCTGAAGGCAAAAGGCACATCTTACATGGTGACAGGCAAAGAGAGAATAAGAATCAAGTGAAGGGGTTTCCTCTTATAAAATCATCAGATTTCGTGAGACTTATTCACTACCACAAGGACAGTATGGGGGAAACTGCCCCCATGATTCAATTATCTCCCACCAGGTCCCTCCCACAACATGTGGGAATTGTCGGAGCTATAATTCAAGATGATATTTGGGTGGGGACATGACCAAACCAAATCATTCTGCCTCTGACCCCTCCTAAATGTTATGTTCTCACATTTCAAAGCCAATCATGCCTTCCCAATAGTCCCCCAAAGTCTTAATTCATTTCAGCATTAACTCAAAAGTCCATAGTCCAAAGTCTCATCTGAGACAAGGGAAGTCCTTCTGCCTATGAGTCTGTAACATCAAAAGCAAGTTAGTTACTTCCTAGATACAATGGGGGTACAGGTATTGAGTAAATACAGTTATTCCAAATTGGAGAAAGTGGCCAAAACATAGCGGCTCCAGGTCACACGCAAGTGGAATATATAGACTAGGCTCTTTAGCTCCTAACTTTGCCATTCTCTGCCAAACACCATTCTATTTGAAAGCTCTCTCTCTCTCGCTCTCTTTGCCATAATTTTCCATATCTTTTCTATAAATAATCAAGGTTTGAGAAATTCTAAAATATATGCAGACAGAAGACCCTATAAAAGAGGGGAAGAGGTAGTGACTCTATTCATCACCACTTGGTTGGTCTTTCTCTTATCCTTAGTATTTATATCTATTGACTGGAAGTAATAGTAAAAATATCTATAGAGTTATTGTGAAATTAAATGAGGTGGCATCAATTAAGTGAGCACAGAGTCTGTGGGGAGATAGTATTTGGGGCCCTAATTCTTTATTTCTTCAAGTGTTCATGTTCTTTATTCTGTAACTGTGTGGTGCCCTCCCTCTCTGCTTCTGGGCTCAGCCATGCAACTTACTTTGCCCAGTGGGCTGTTAGCAAACATGATGCAAATAGAGGCTTGTAAAGGACCTGCATATTGAGACTTGCTCTTGCTCTTGCCTTCTGACACTGCCACGAACGCCTGCCTGGGCTAGCCTGCTGGAAGATGAGAATCATGTGACCCAGCTAACAGCTGACAACTAACTCATCTCCAGATGTGTGAGCGGGCCAAGCCGAGATGAGAAAAATCCTGCAACTGAACCCAATCTAAATCACTAATCTACAGAGTGTTGAGAGCTAAATACATGTTTATTGTTTTAAGCCACTGAGTTTTGGGGTAGTTGGATTCTCAGCATCATTGTGTCAGTAAATAACTTATACAAAATGACATGTAAGAAGTGCTTAAAAATTGTTTATATGGCAGCCCTTTGGTGATTCAACTTTATTTTTTATTTAAATAACAGAGACAGTTCCCTGTTTATCCACTCTTCCCTTCCTTTGTAGCTTACTCTTTAAAGTGTCCAATCGAGGCACACTGTTACATTTAATATGCTTATTTGTCAGTATAACATATCTCAAATTGCTTCTCTCCTGTTTCTTGTCTCTTTAATGGCAAAAAAATTTTAGTCACATTTAGTCTATTGGCTGTTAGCATTTTATTTGGATCTCAGAGGGGATATAAGAGAAATAGGAGACAGAACCTTCCTTTAATAACACAAATCCAAAGGATAACAGCTAATTTCAGTGCTATGTGGTATATGTAGAAGTGTTAAGAGGCAACCAGGGAATTCAATGAGTTAAAGTCAAGTAGGTTCAGTTGGTGATATTTTAAACACAGTATTAAGACTTTCCTATGGAAAAAATAGAATGACAGAATAAATGACCAACCTATGTCATTATGTCTGGGCTGTGAAATGGGAATGTGACAAATGAATGCTCCATCTTGACACTGTTTTTCAATTCCTACTTTGGCAAATAGTTCCATAGCCACTGGATGCCACTCATGATGCAGACAGTGGTGTTAGAGATGAGTTCACTATGACATATTTAGTGTCTTGAGAGGATGGCATGGAGGCCAAAGCAACTCCATCTTAGATTTCTAATCTGGCATGTTGGCTTCTCATTAACTCCAGTTCTGGGAAAGCCTCTAAAATTTCCAGTTTATCTACTGTTCCTTCTGAGAGCAGGTACTTACCATAAATCTTGCCCTTAGGTCCAACAACGTTGCTGTTATCATACTTCAATTGTCCTACACATCCCTTCTGAATCACTCCTCCCCTATGGTGCATAAGCCCTTGGTCTGTGGGATAATGGCACAGGACCCACCATCTTGTTTTCCCACCACCCGAGACACAGACATGGCTTCTGTTCCTAAGTCCCTACTAAATGTTTCTTTCTGAGAAACTGGATATGTCAGCCTCTTTCTTTGGCCTCTTGGCTCCCTGGGAGGCCAAATTATTAAATTATACACAATTTACTGGGCTGAATGGTGCTGCCCCTGAAGCACTGAATTTCAATGGCTCTGAAAGTGAAGATAAGGCCTTGGCCCTCTCCCATTCAGCTGTTGATTAAGAGCTGGTTCTAGTTTCTGGTGTGACCTTTAACAGTAAGTCATGAATTACAATTCCCTAGTGAATGTATTCTCAAGGCATCCTGCCAACTATTATTTCTGAACAGAGCATGTTCACAGACAACAAGCAAAATCATTACGCCAAGACTAATGCCAACTGGCTCAGTGGTCATTTGAAGAAAGGGCAGATCAAGAATTCCTTGTTTCCCCAGCAGCCCTCTTTGCCTCTTGTGTTGTGACACATGCACTTTGTTTCTTCTCATTCATCTCCATTACAGCCTCAACAGCCCAAATTTACATTCTGAAAAAAAATACAGAAGGTCTATGCTTCTGGCCCGATGTATGAGGAAGACAGGCAGCTTCCTAGCTGGAGTAAACTTAAGGGTTGACTGCCTCCCCTAATCAGCACTTGGGTTTTAGAGATGCAAGAAGTATTGGTTCTAGAAGAAGCCTTAAAATAATCTCTTCTGAATATTTTCAGATGACTGTTGCTCAGAATCAGACAAAATCATAGGTGGATATGAAAATGAATAAAACAGAGAGAACCAGAGCAGCTCTGGCTGAAAAGCAGGGTGGTGGGTGGTAGGTGCTTGTGGAGAAGAGTTCCTTGTGTCTGCAGGGAGCAGAGTTAGAAAATCAGTCATCTTACCAAGGTCCATTTTTAGAGATTCAGAGAAGTGAAAGTACTGATCTGCAAACAGACAGGTCAACAGAAACTCGAACTCACACATCCCGACTTTCAGTGTAGTGCTCTTTCCAGATTTTCAAATAACTGGTGGGAAATACGGGTAAATGTGCATTATCAATGGAGGCATTTGAAGAGACAGACAAACTCTTTTAGAATGCAGTAGCACTATAATGGAATCTGAGTAATTTGCATACTATTTTATAAGAAAATGTTAAAACTTCTCTTTTTTTAGTATGTTAATAATGAAAGTTTTTTTAATGCAAGTTAGAAATTAAAATAAAAATTTTAAATATTTCCTTGTTCCAATCCCAAGCTCCTCCCTAGAGGTCACTGCCAGTAGTTTGAGTCACCCATTTATCTACGAACACATACCCACACCTACATCTAGATATACGATTATGTTGTTTGTTGCTAATTACAAAAGTGTATAATGTATATATTGTCCTGGAACTGTAAAAAATAAAGAAAGTGACATCCTTGCATAGGAGTACACTCTTTACTCATTTTTTAGCTGCTTGCATGTGCGGTGTGAATGTATTTTATTTCATTTTTTATTATTATTATTTTTTGAGATGGAGTCTCACTCTGTCACCCAGGCTGGAGTGCAGTGGTGCGGTCTCAGCTCACTGCAACCTCTGCCTCCCAGGTTCATGCAATCCTCCCACCTCAGCCTCCCAAGTAGCTGGGATTACAGGTGTGTGCTACCATGTCCAGCTAAATTTTGTATTTTTAGTAGAGACGGAGGTCTCACCACGTTGGCCAGGCTGGTCTCAAACTCCTGACCTTGAGTGATCTGCCCACAACGGCCTCCCAAAATGCTGAGATTACAGGCACGAACCACCGCGCCTCGCCTGTGAATGTATTTTAATGTGTTTATCCACTCCTCTGTTGGCCAATGTTGAAATGGTTCTCAATGACTTCATTATTACAAGGCTACAATCAAGATTTTTGAACACGCATATTCATCCACTTTTGCAAATATTTATCCCATAAAGATCCTTGGAAGATTTGCTGAGTAAAAAAGACATTTATTTATATTTTTGACAAATGTTGCTGTGTTGCTCTACAGAGAAGTGAGACCAGTTAATGCTCCCACTCAGCACTGTTTGCCAACATTAACACTAAATATTAATCTTTTCCAGCCTCGTCAGTCTGATAAGCAGAGACCTCGCACATCTTTAATTCATCAGATTAAGCTTCTTTTCAAGCATTTTTTTGTATCTATGTATCTATGTAAATACTTTCTTCCATTCCCAAATAGGATATTAAAATTTACATGTTATTTTAAAGACAACTAATATACAGCTAAACTAACTGAAATAATATATACAAGAAGTTTATGGGGTCTAACCTACAGATGGGAAAACCTTAAATAAGTTTTTAACTTCCTTTACCCTATTAGGAACATCAGGACTTCTAGAATTGATACTGGCCCTGTGTATCAAGTACATTTTTCCCCTCATAAAACTTGTTTACTTTTCCAGAGAGCATATCATGCTATTGTGTCTAGGAAATCAGTGAGTAACTAGGTTATCCATCTTACCATTACTTCAAAATATTACTTCAAAATGCTGGATGCAGATGGTGATTAGATGGTTGAGGAAAAAAAAGAAGATTTTTTAAGCTTAAGTAAGAAAGCCAGGGGATTCCAGAGGATTGAAGTTGCTGCTGGATAGATGAGGTTTCACTGTGCTGCTGACAGAAAAGCTGTAGAAGATCTGAAGTAAACAAGATGACTTCAAGACAATGAAGACTAATGAAGTAGAATGTCAGAAACCCACTGTGAAGGAAACTGAAATTAACACAGCCCTTCCCACACATTTCTTTGAGAAAAGAGAAGAAAAACTTCCTTACAAATCATTTTGAGGATTTATGAAAAATTTACAAATAGAGGTTCAAGAAATGGACTTCCTTCAGTCGTCTGAAGGTTTGAATCTTGTGCGCTTTTTAATCATTTGTGGTTTTCTCTTAGTCTTTATTTTTGTCTTCATATAAATTAGGTTGCCTGCCTTTTGCTTATTGAGTGCGAGGAACTTCTCACAGGGTCTTAATGCTTAATAACCCTTTGATTATGTATGTTGCAAGTATTTTCTCCAGGTCTGCTGTTTGTCATGTAATTTTGTTTATGGAATCTTTTCTCGTACAGAGGTTTTAAATTATGAAGTCAAGTGTGCCAATCTTTTCCTTCATAGGGATGCTCATATTTCTAATATTCTTTCACTATCAATCTTGAATCCCTATCAGCTAGACTAACTGCAACAGCGACACTTTTCATTAAAAATAAATCATTGTAAATTTAAAATGCAAATTTACACTCATTGCTGATGCCTTTGACAAAAATATCAATCATTATGGAGGAAAATAAAATTCTTCTCTTAAACTGTATACAGATCAGGGAAGACTTTGGAAGGCCCAGATAAATAACGGGTATTTCAGTGGTGGCAATGAGAGGTGACAACGTGCTAGCAGCCCTCGCTCCCTCTCGGAACCTCTTCAGGCCACGGCATCCACTCTGGCCACGCTTGAGGAGCCCTTCAGCCCACCGCTGCACTGTGGGAGCCCCTCTCTGGGTTGGCCCAGGTGGGAGCTGACTCCCTCTGCTTGCGGGGGAGGTGTGGAGGGAGAGACGCAGGTGGGAACCAGGGCTGCGCGTGGGCTTGCGGGCCAGCGCGAGCTCTGGGTGGGCGTGGGCTTGGCAGGACCCGCACTCAGAGCAGGCAGCCGCAGTGAGGGGCTTACCACCCAGGCCAGCAGCTGCAGAGGGGGCACCAGGTCCCCCAGCACTGCCGGCCCACCTGTGCTATGCTGGAATTCTCGCTGGACCTCAGCTGCGCCCCCATGGGCTCTTGCGAGGCCAGAGCCTCCCCAACGGGTGCTGCCCCCTGCTCCGCGGCACCCGGTCCCATCGACTGCCCAAGGGCTAAGGACTGTGGGCGCATGGTGCAGGACTGGCGGGCAGCTCCCACCATGGCCCCCGCACGGGATCCACTAGGCAAAGCCAGCTGGGCTCCTCAGTCAGGTGGAGACTTGGAGAACTTTTATATCTAGCTGGAATATTGTATATGCACCAATCAGCACTCTGTGTCTAGCTCAGGGATTGTAAATGCACCAATCAGCACTCTGTGTCTAGCTCAAGGTTTGTAAATGCACCAATCAGTGCTCTGTGTCTAGCTAATCTAGTGGGGACTTGGAGAACTTTTTTGTCTAGCTAAAGGATTGTAAACGCACAAATCAGCATTCTGTGTCTAACTCAGGGATTATAAATACACCAATCAGCACCCTGTCAAAATGGACCAATCAGCTCTCTGTAAAATGGACCAATTAGCAGGATGTGGGTGGGGCCAGATAAGGGAATGAAAGCAGGCTGCCCAGCCAGCAGCGGTAACCTGCTGGGGTCCCCCTCCACATTGTGGAAGCTTTGTTCTTTCGCTCTTTGCAATAAATCTTGCTGCTGCTCACTTTTTGGGTCCCCACTGCTTTTATGAGCTGTAACACTCACTGTGAAGGTCTGTAGCTTCACTCCTGAGGCCAGCGAGACCACGAACCCACTGGGAGGAATGAACAACTCTGGACAGGAGGGACAAACAACTCCAGAGGCACCACCTTAAGAGGTGTAACACTCACCACGAAGGTCTGCAGCTTCACTCCTGAAGCCAGCGAGACCACGAACCTACCAGAAGGAAGAAACTCCAAACACATCCGAACATCAGAAGGAACAAACTCCGGACACACCATCTTTAAGAACTGTAACACTCACTGCGAGGGTCCACGGCTTCATTCTTGAAGTCAGTGAGACCAAGAACCCAGCAATTCTGATCACAGCATGATGGGAAACCTCATGTTAAAAAGCCCAAGCAGAAAAAATTTTACAAATTTTAGCGTCTTAACAATATGTTTATGTCTATTAATATGTCTTGTCTTTTCAGTTCTTGCTCAAAGTCTTACCCCTAGGGGTCAAGGTATACAGACTGTTGTTAACATATAAATGACTGTCAAATCTTTATTAGTAACTGACATCTTTGGATGAGTCTATTCGTTGTTTTAAGGAAATAGAACACAGTAAGATTAAGTTTTGATGTGTGAGATAAGGCTGACATAGGTCAGAAACTTTGCTGTTAGGGAAAAATTTAGGTCTTCATAAGAAGTCACAGTGGGTGGCCCAGAAAAGCCAGCAGTGAGGGGCATCATATGGTGTGGGAGTGTAGGTGGTAGGGGGAAAGGGAAGAAAAAAGGAACTGAAATATTGAGAAAAAATTTTTGAGAACTTCTTTTGCACTTATCATTTTATATATGTATAACATAATTATTGTCTCATTTCTCTGTTACATCGTGAAGGTCAATATCCCATCCATATCTACATCCCTATTGAATGACACATAGTAGGCATTTTGAGACCACTTGCTGTATACTTTCACATAAATTGTGTTTACATCCACCCTGCATTACCCTGTGACTGAAATAATGAGACCTACTGAGTATCACTGAGAGTATTATTAAGGCTAATTTCAGGTTTGCATATTACTATGCTGTGGTACTATACAATTGTTTGATCCAAAAACAGATTAGAAGGAAGATTTGTTGTTTGTGCTTGGAACCCTGTGCTCTTTTTAAAACCTAATTCAGAGGTTTGAGAAACCAGCAAGGGCTTTCTGTCCCAGTGGAGCTTAACAGTTATGACAGGGATCGGCGGGGAGTCTCTTTCTCCATCTCATCGCTTCAGACAGGTAGAAATGAAGACTGTATCAGGACTAAAAATAGTACCCCAAATCAGGGGTCACAAATAGGCAAACAAATGAGCAGCACCCGTTACCATTCCTTTGCAATGCACTCTAGAAGGATACAAGGAGATACAGACATAGATATATATATGCTGAGACCAGCTCGGTCGGGGAGACCCTCACCCAGCGGCACTAGAGGAATTAAAGACACACACACAGAAATACAGAGGTGTGAAGTGGGAAATCAGGGGTTTCACAGCCTTCAGAGCTGAGATCCCCAAACAGAGATTTACCTATGTATTTATTAACAGCAAAGCAGTCATTAGCATTGTTTCTATAGATGCTAAATTAACTAAAAGTATCCCTTATGGGAAACGAAGGGATGGGCCGAATTAAAGGAATAGGTTGGGCTAGTTAACTGCAGCAGGAGCATGTCCTTAAGGCACAGATTGCTCTTGCTATTGTTTGAGGCTTAAGAATGCCTTTAGGCCGGGTGCAGTGGCTCACGCCTGTAATCCCAGCACTTTGGGAGGCCAAGGTGGGCGGATCACAAGGTCAGGAGATCGAGACCATCCTGGCTAACACGGTGAAACCCCGTCTCTACTAAAAATACAAAAAATTAGCCGGGCGTGGTGGCGGGCGCCTGTAGTCCCAACTACTGGGGAGGCTGAGGCAGGAGAATGGCATCAACCCGGGAGGCAGAGCTTGCAGTGAGCGGAGATCCTGCCACTGCACTCCAGCCTGGGCGACAGAGCAAGACTCTGTCTCAAAAAAAAAAAAAAGAAAAGAAAAAAAGAATGCCTTTAAGCGGTTTTCTGCCCTGGGTGGGCCAGGTGTTCCTTGCCCTCATTCCCGTAAACCCACAACCTTCCAGCTTGTGCGTTAGGGCCATTATGAACATGTTACAGTGCTGCAGAGATTTTGTTTCTGGCCAGTTTTGGAGCCAGTTTATGGCCAGATTTTGGGGGGGCTTGCTCCCAACATATATATATATACAGAAAATCAGCAAGCCTAGGGTCCTTATGTAAAAAGGACCCAGAAAGCTGAAAAAGGATTCAATAGGAAATAATAGCTCAGTGCTAAGCTGAAATGGAGATGGCAGCTCTTCACTGGATGTGGCCAGTAAAGTTAAACATTTTAGGGCATTGACTCTGGAACGTGACCTGCTAGGTTAAAATTCGAATGTTGCCACTTGCTAGCTGTGACTGTGCAAGTAGTTTAACCTCTGAGACCCTAAGCTTCCTTGTTTGTAATAAGGAGATATAAATAACATCTGCCCGCAGTGATATTCCGTGGGCTAAGGGAGGTAATCCATGTTACACAGCACAGTCCCAGACTTGTAGGCCCTCCATAATTACTTATTTACTTTGAAAAGCTCAAGCCATGCAGGATTTGGGTTTGCACTTGAGTGCCCTGTTCCTGGATTTCTGAAAAGAGTTGGCCTTATTGTAAGATATGTGCTTTAGAGCCCAAGGCGTCTTGGCTGTCAAAGAATCCACACTCCCCAGTAAGGTTCCCAGGGAAGAAACATTTCTGGGTTCTTTAACCTGAAGCCCTGAAATAAACACAACTTCATTCATATGTTGAAAGATGCAGGAAGAAGAGAGGAGTCAATGATTCATGCCTGCCTGGCAGGGGCACCTTACTGCCTTCTACACCTCACAGCTCTGGGCATGAATGTTCAGGTGGCCTTCTACCTGTGCCTCTCCTGCAGAGGGAACTGGTGGAATATAATGGAGCCCCATGTGGTTATAGCTAAATAAAAAAAAAAAAATTCCTTGATTTGCAGTCATGCCACTCTGTCATCATGGCTAAATAAGCCCGGGAACAATGGACAAAGAAGCAACAACCACAACCAAAAATGCAGTATCTTTTATCTTACTCAGTGGACACAATTTTCAGAATAATTCAGATCCTAAAACAGTTTAAAATGCAGAGAAACATATGGGATGTTTTTTCATACTGCAAAAATGTCCATTGTAGAATTCTTTTAAATATCAAGTGATTCTAGCCTATCAAAATATGATTGGCTTACTCAAATTTATTATTTATAGCTTTCCTTAGCATTTCTGGGTTTATGTGAAAAAATTCTTTTTTTAAAAATTACTATCAAATAACTCAAATTCCAGATCTTTTAACCTACAATAAAATATGGCAAAGTTCATCTATGTTATGTATCTACAAAGTTTTATACCCTCCTTTTTAAGCCTGTGGACTAATTTCCAGACAAATGATGTGACATCAAGGTGAGATTTCTAGCTACCTCTTTGACCCAAACCGCTTGTGCTCTCTGCTTGACTGGTGGATTCATTGCCAAGGCTCTCCAGCCCCTTGTGGATATGTCAAGAGAGTTGGCTGTGATCATCTAATTAGAGTAGAACCAAAGAGACAAAGCCCATGACGGTCATCCAGGATTCCTGTGATCAGCTATTACCAAAGTCCCCAGGCTTTCTCTACGGATGAAAATGTCAATGTCAGGAAACATGTCTGCCACAGCTTCTTGAAACACAGAGGACAAAGGAAGTTGAAGGAAGATTTTTTAAAAATCAAAATTATTTTTAGATAATTGATTATGAGCATTAGTAAGGAACTTGCAAAGGTCTGGGGACTGTTATAACACTTGTTCTCTCACCTATCTCCCCTCTTCACTCTCAGAGGTCACACCAGTCAAGTTATCACCAGCTTCTTTTCTGTTCCTGCCATGTTCTCTCTATCAAAAGTGTGCATAATGTGAACAGAATTCAGATTCCAAAGTATGGCTGTCTTGCTTTTTCCCACCACTGGTGTCATTAGCCTTCCTTAGCAGACACTGTCAAACTCAGTTCATTCGTTCCTTCTTTCTTTCTTTCTTTCTCTCTCCTTCCTTCGTTCGTTCCTTCTTTTTCTTTTTTCTTTTTTTCCTCTTTCTCTCTTTCTTTTCCTTCCTTCCTTCCTTCTTTTTCTTTCTCTTTTCTCTTTTTTTTCCTCTCTCTCTTTCTTTTCCTTTCTTCTCTCCCCTTCCTTCCTTCCTTCCTTTGTTACTTTTTCTTTCAGACAGGGTCTTGCTCTGTCACCCAGACTGGAGTGCAGTGGCACGATCTTGGCTCACTGCAGCCTTGATCTCCTGGGTTCAAGTGATCCTTCCACCTTAGCCTTCTGAGTAGCTGGGACTATAGGCAGGTACCACCATGCCCAGCTAATTTTTTTATATTTTGTAGAGATGGGGTCTCGCTGTGATGCCCAGGCTGGACTTGCACTCCTGGGCTTAAACCATCCACCTACCTTTGCCTGCCAAAGTGCTGGGATTACAGGCATAAGCCACCACTCCTGCCTGCTCTTTTCTTTCTTATTTGAGCCATTCTCTACTACCTGTGTGTGCAGACAGGTGACCCACATGCTGGCATATATTCAACTTGCCTTTGAGGGAGATGTTGAATGAAACTGCAGCATCATTTTCGCCTGGGAGGAAAGTGTTCTGAATATACTATACCAGGTAAGTATGACAGGCAACAGGGAAGTAGGCTTGCTTGGCAAACAATTTGGTGAGAAGAATTTGTGTCCAAGAAGTGTCTCTTTGGAGCTAAGTGAGCGAAGAGGTAACCAAGCATTAAAACACTCAGGCACTCATTAAATTCTATTTTAATCATATATGTTAAATATTTTTCCAAGCAAAGCCCATCTTTGCCAGAGTGGGTTTTACAGTTTAAGGTAAATGCATCTCAATACAGATTCAGCCATTATGCACTGGAAAATAGAAAATGCATGTATCCCCTGGCCATTTCATTTCATTGTTCATTTCACTTATTCCATTCATTCATTTTTTAAAAATATCTGATATTCACAGGTCTGCTTTATTACAGCAAATGACACAGAAGAAAGGTAACAAGAGAAAGATATGCACAGACACAGACTTTCATGTCATTTCCCTTCTAAGACTACATTGAAATGTTCTCTCTAGCAATGAAATACAGGGACATATGTGGTGTATCTCCACCTAGGGAAGCCTCCGTGAGTCTGGGTGGGGATGTCGTGGGTAGGAGACTGGTCACGTAGGCATCTCCTAGTATGTATGCAGCCATGGCAACAGAAACTCAAGACTCCAACAGTAGAAGTAGCTACACATTATCAATCTTGATGTTTGTGCGAAGCAACCTGACAAGTTGGTGTGGCATGGTTCATTGATCCAGGTATTTCTAACAAAATCATCTGTCACTAGCATAAAGAATTCTTTGAGGGCCACATTCCCAGAGGATGGTAAATCATGGGTTCCAGGTGCCTTTGGAGATGGCAAAACTAAGCAATCAGACCTGCTGTGTTAACTCTTTCCTCACACTCTCCCTACCCCCAATTGATTTGAGGGACTTTTAAAAAGTTGCTGTTATTGTGTTCATTCATTCTTTTATTCTATAAATTTTCACCAACCACCTACAAGATCTTTTGCCCTGAGAGAATGTTCAAGAATTGAGTTGGAGAGAAGAGACATACATGCAAGCAAAAATAAATAAGAATATAAAAGACCAATCATAATATAAGTCACCATTATGACTTACCATAAAGTTGTATTTTTGGAAAATGAAGTGTTTAGAAAGTCAGAAAGGAGGGTCATGATAGGCTGGAGGACCTGAGAGGAGTTGAGCCTTGGTGAAGGACTTGAGTTGAGCCTTGGTGAAGGACTTGGAGAGCAGGCAGATCTGGACAAACAGACATAGCAGACCAGAGTGAGGGGCATTCTAGGTGGGATTCTGTTATGACCCTTAGCTCAGAAGTGGGGCCTCTTGAGGTACATGCAAGGTCACTGAGATAGGTTATGAGATCCATGTCAGGACCAGATTCTGGAGGATTCTGAATACCAAATTAAGGAGTTTGGATTCTGTTAGGTAGGTCAATAATTCTCAACCCTGCTACACATTAAAATAACTTTAGGAGATATATAAAAAAAATTCTGAGATGCTGATTCAAGTGGTCTGTGTTGCAGGTAGTGACTATCTGGAGCCGGTGGTGCAGGCAGTTAAAGAATTTACCAAGACAGTCATAGGTAAAGAAAGGCAGAATTATTAGAAAAGGAATGATAATACTTGGTAAGGTTGCAACAGGCAGGACAGCAGAGAAGGGGCTGTCTGCAAAAAGGCACAGGCTGGAGGGAAGTTTTATAAGGTCATGCTGGTGGGGGCTGCATGCAGAACAAGGTCATTGTGACCACCGAAGTCTTTGTGCCTGCAAGTTGTTTGTGATTAGCCATCTCTCAGAACAATTATTCATTGTTCTTCCCCACCTGGGGCCTTTCCCCGGCCTGGGGCCTCTTCCTCATGTTGCTTACTTGTCATGTCAGAACTCCACAGTATTTTTTTTAACTTTTATTTTAGATTCAGGGGCGACATGTGAATGTTTGTTACAAGGATATATTTTGTGATGCTGAGGTTTGGGCTTCTGTCAGTCTCATCATCCATATAGTGAACATGGGTCATTGATATTTTTTAAATCTCCTCAGGTGACTCTAACATGCCGGGAGAGCTGAGATCTACTATTCCCGATGCTGAGGAACCACTTGATACTTTTTGAAGTAGAATAAAACTGATGCTCTAGGGAGCTGACCCCTCAAAGTTGGGGTGGTGTTGAGGCAGGACACCAGTTAGGACTGTCCCTTAACTGTATAGTAATGGCAGTGTGATGAGGGTCTGCACTGGAGTTTGTGCTCAATTGAAGCCTAGAAATTTGGTGAAGAACAAAATATTATGTGACTGTGCTCACTGCATACCCTAGAGGTCCTGCACCCCTGCGTCCTGAACAAAGACCTGCCTCCCAAAGCTTCAGGGCACAGAAAACCAGGAGGCTGGGAAACAACAAGCCTCATAAACAATCCTTTCTCTACTCAGCAATGTGATATTTTCAGCAGCTACTAGTGATGCTTCAGGAAGAACAACTTGTCCAATGTACTGAACATTTCCAGCACAGACACAGCTAATCACTAGTTTCTGTCCTCCAAATTCACTGTAAACATGAGTGCCCAGGAGGAAAATGCCCAGCTGAGTGAAACAGAGATAATCCCAAAGCTCAGCCTCCACCTGGCTCATTCTTTGTGCCATTCATCAGCTCAGAGGGTGACACAGGATCTTCTAGCGACTAAAATTCATCAAGCAGCTTTCTAATGACAGCCCCAGAGGACTCCAGTGAGATTGACATGGAATTGTCACCAATTGAGAGACCCATCGGTTGAGATTCTGTTCCTCTGAAATCACTTCCAGTACCAGAGGTAGCCTGGGTTCACATGCTGAAAACACTCCCATGGCTTCCTATCACAAGGAGAATCAGTCCCAAAGATTTCAACTCAGCTTACAAAATCCTACATATTCTGTCCTTCAAAATCTCACCTTTGGTGTGCTGCTCTTACACCATGTCTCCCCTGATAGCCACATTCCTGTCGAAGTAGCTAATATTCTCTTTTTGGTTCTAGGCCTTTGAACAGATAGATCCTTTTGGTCACCTTGTTTTGCCTGCTTAATTAATTTAGTTTCTTGAGACAGGGTCCCCTTCTGTCACCCATGCTGGAGTGCAGTGGTCCAATCTTGGCTCACTGCAGCCTCCACCTCCTGGGCTCAAGCCATCCTCCCATCCCAGCCTCCCAAGTAGCTGGGACTACAGGCGGTGCCACCATGCCTGGTTAATTTTTGTATTTTTTGTAGAGATGGGGTGAAGTAGTCTAGGGTCACTGAAGCAGTCTTATTGTCTGAGGTGTTACCTGGAGTTCTTTGTCTCACAACCAAGAAAATTAAGGAGTGTGGACACCAAGGGTGAGGTTGGAGTGAAAGTTTACTAAGTGAAAGAGGAAAGCTCTCTGCAGCAGAGAGGGGGCCTGAGGGCCTGAGAGGGTTTTCATTTCACAGTTGAATGCAGAGGCTTTTATGAACAAGCTAATGGAGCAGGCTGTTTCATTTGCATAAGGCAGGAAGAAACGGTGCAAATTCTTATTATCTCCACTCCGTCCCTCTAGTGTGCATGCAGGTCTTTAGCCTGAATTACTCCATGTTGTTTTATTTTCCTTACTGTGCATGTGTCAGGAGATGGAATTTTCCACTGCAGACATGTCTGGTTCTGTGTAACTTTCCTTATCTATAAAACTGCAGGTCTGTCTTAAGCAAGCCCCCTATGCAAGTTCCCTTATCTGCGTATGCCCAAAAAGGAAAGGAATGTGCTCACTGAAGCCCACCGTGTGTAGGCAGAGCACACTGGTTGCATAAGAGACAAAGCTGTTGGATCTTGCTTCCTTATCTGCACTTGCAGCTTGATTTCTCCCAGGCTGCTCTTTTGTCGGAAGGACCTCTACCAAGAACCTTGTCCTAACTATCTGCCTCACCGGTTCCTTCCTCTCATCTCCCTCAGGGGTTTTGCCATGTTTCCCAGGCTGGCCTAAAACTCCTTGGCTCAAGAAATCTGCCCTCCTTGACTTCCCAAAGTGCTGGGATTACAAGCGTGAGCCATCGCGCCCGGCCATTGCCTGCTTAATTTCTATTCATGTTTACATCTTTATTTAGCTATTAACTTCTTTCAGGAAGCCTTCTTAGATTCCCTAACGCTGGATCCAGTAATCCTCCTGGTGCTCCAATAATATCCTGTACTTCCACATTTATCATGCCCTTGAGATGTTGTATGAACTTTTCTGGGTCTGAAACAAGCTGGTTGTCCTCCGAGGGCAGGGACCATGTCTATCTTTTCCACATTGTATCCTTGGTATCCAGCCCAGTGACTGCAAAATGGTAGGTAACAATAAATAGTTGAGGAATCAATGAATAAATCAATAAAATATACCCTTGCTAGTTATGTTACAGCATCCTTAAGCACTCTGCTAGCATTACTGACTGAATTTGGAAGGAAAGTAATTAAATGGTGCCATATCAATTCAGTTCACAACTTTAGTCTTCATTCCAATGGAAATGGATTATAGGAATGGAGAAATGGACACTCATTGATGAAATTAGCAATGTTCAAGATAAGTAGGTTGGCCAAAGTACAGAGGAGATCCTCCTTTTAGGCATAAACAAACAAGGCCCAAGGTAGTTGACGTGAGAGACATGGGCAGTGCTATGTAGTTCCCCACTTGAAATCCAGGAGCAAAAGGACATGAGGCTAAATTTCATCAATATTTTTCCTATAGCAACAGCCCAGAAATCTTGGGGAAAAAAAGGCACACCTAATAACACGAAAAGGCAACAGGCTGGGATTTTTCAAGAAATGACGGAAAAATAATAGAGACGAAAAATGACCCCTCTACACCAAATCCTTGGAGAAGAGCGTTTATCATTCCTTACGACTGCTGTGGGGCTCACACACATACTTTTTAAACCTGACTAAAATATTTAGCTTTCCAGGGAGAAAGATTCTTTCATTTTTTCCCTTATAGAGAGCTTGTGTCAACTGAAAACTGGATTAAAACAAAACATCAAACAATGAGTTGTATGTGCCTAGAACACTGTCGTCATTTGTCATTTATAAAAACATAAACATTGACAATTTCAGGACTTTAAAGTACCTGTTTTGGAATCAGTCATTCTATCCATACTGAGGAAGTGATTTTCAGGTGGAAATTAAAAATGAAGGCTACTTTATTTTTAATTTATAGGGAAAAGCAAAGATTTCCAATAAAATAAACTAAAAACTGATATGAAGTATTTAAGATGTTTTATATAGGCTTTTATTGAAGGATGCACATTTTTAGACAGAGATATTGCTTCCACTACCTCTTCTTGAGCATAAATAATAACAGTAGATCATATACTTAATGAATACTAAATAAAACCTGTTTATACACTCAACTGCTAGAAATAAGAATTAATCTCCAAAATGCTTTAGCAATGGGATTTGACTACTTTTAAATAAAATGTTTGCTTTGTTTAAATTTGTGAGCTAATAGGTTTAAAGAACACCTAGTCAAGACCAGAATGTCCATTAGACTAGAATACTTCCATCTTGTGCATAATTCATATATGATGTTAGACCTATATATCTAAAACATCTGTGCTGTTGCAAGGTTTCAATCCCATTGAACACAATTTCCACACTTCTCTTTGGTGGGTAGTATAAACATTTCCACCTAAGATAGAGAGCACTGGGAGGGCTCACAAGCAGAACTGTCATATGAGAGAGGACTCAGAGCCAAAGAGTAGATAGACAGCTCAAAACCATTACCTGTCTAAAGGTCTGGGTGGAAAACAACCAATGTATAAGTCCAATATGGGCAGAGAAACCAAGAGAGATGGGGAATGAGGAGCAGAGAGAGAACAAGCCTGGCCTGGAAGAATTCTGGAGAGGATGTGGTGGTGGTGAGTGGTGGTGGTGGTGAGTGGTGTTTGAAGGATTGTTACATGATAGATAATTTACCTGAAAAGACATCATCATAGGAGGGGTAATATTTTTCACTATCATACTATTGATGTCTACCAAAAAAGAACCACATATGACTAAACGGGCCTACAACAGGGCATTGGCATAAGTTTCCGTGGGATGGCTGATTCATTCAAGGGGCTATGGCAGACTCTTTAGCCCAGTTTCTTGAAAGGGAAATCTGGATAGACTCACTTTCACCCCTTTATTATCTTCCACGAATGCAAAAAAAGTTATGACTGTGAACACAGAACAAGAGGAGTGTATACATATGTGCAGTTCAATAAATTATCACAAAGCACACACCAATACAACCACCATGGAGGTCAGGAATAGACGGTTGCCAGCTCCCAGAAGCCCAAAGACATCGGCTCTCTGACTCCTAGAGTAACTGCTTCCTTCCTTTTCTTTATGGTTTTACCACTTAAGAAGGCATCCCTAAAAAACTAGAGTTTACATTTGCTTCTATTTTTATACTTCATATAAATGGAATCATGCAGTATGTATTATTTTGTGTCTAGCTTTTTGGATTCTTTTGTTCAACATTTTGTTTCTTGATTTATTATTATATTCTGGTTATGAGTTAGTTGTCAATTATACATGTTTCAAATATTTGTCTAATTCTATGGCTTATCTTTTAAATTTCTTAGTAGTGACTTTTGGTAAACACGTACTCTTAATTTTAAAGTATTGAAATTTATTTATATTCTTTTATGTTTCTTTAAAAAAAGAGAGATTTTTTTGACTTTACAAATTGACTTGGGAAGAATTAATATATTTATAATAATTGCCTTTCACTTCTTTAACTTCCACTTGTCTAGGTCTTTAATATCTCAATAACATTTTATAATTTTTTTAGAAGTCTTTTGATACCAAGGCAATAGAATACCTAGAATATCTGACACTTAGAGAGGATCATATGACACTTTATGTGACAAAATGAGTTTCAGAAGTAATTGCATAATTATCAATAATTTTCTTGATTTGTCCTTTAGTTTTAAAATAAACTAAAAATTAAAATAGTATTAAAATTCAGTAAAAATCATTTGTACAGAGGTAAAATTTACACTTACCAAGCAAAATTACACTCCATAGTTTGCACTCTTTCATTGTTTTAAATTTTAATCCCAAAGAATAACTCTAATAGAGTTATTCTATTAGATAATAGGGATAATAGAACAGAAGTGACTTGAGCTTCTATTTATTTGTCTTTACTATCACTGTGCTATCAAATTCCGTATTTCGAAGCTACTGGTAGAATTCAGGAGTAGGGAATATCCTTCGGGTAGGAAACACAAACTGTGACCCGGAAGCTCAAATGATTCTGAGCAGGTGTGGATTTATTCTCAAAATGAAACACAGATAGCTAAATATGTATGCACAATTGTTTCTTTCTTCCTTATTGAGTTGTAGAAATTCTGTGTCTATTCTAAATGAAGCACCTATTTCCTTCTACTTTGTCACATGCCTTGCCACTCTCAGTTGTATCGTTTGATGAATGTAAGTTCCTGTTTGTGAAGTAGTCCAGCTTGTCCAGCTTTTTGTTTACAGTTATGCTATTTGCATTCTGTTTAAGAAACCTCTCCATACAGCACTTCATTTTCTAAAAGCTTTATTAGATTAGTTTTGCTTCTATCAAAAGAAAAATTATAACAAATTTAGCTATGCAATGTAATAAGGGAATTTCAAAAACATACAAATGTGGACAAAATAATATAATGAGTACCATATAGTCATCATCTAATTTTAACAGTTATCAACTCACAACTAAACTTTCTACATCTATATCCCATCCTTTTCCCTGTTTTTATAAAACATATAATTTCTTCTATAAATATTTCAATATGTATCTTTAAAAGGTATGATTCTTTTTGAAAACATAATTATAATACCGTTTGTACATAAAAAATTTTAATGACTCATTAATATCAAATAACTAGTATTTATTCAAATTTTCAATTGTCTTATAAATGTTATTTATAAATTATTTTCATTTTGTTTTGTTTTTACATTTTGCCTTTTTTATTCAGAGATTCAGATGAGGTCTACACACTAGGATTGTTTGATAGGCCTTTTAAATCGCTTTTAATCTATAGGTCAGTCTTCATCTTTCTAAGAAATGTTTTTGTAATTTATTTGTTTTAAAAACCCCAAATATCCTGTTGCATTATCCACAATCTGGATTTTCTGATTGCATCCCCTTAATGTCATTTAACATGCTTCTTAGTTCCTCTGTATTTCTTAATTAGTGGCTGAATCTAGAGGCTTGATTTGATTCCGCTTTGATTTTTAAAAATTTTTTGACATGGATGTGCCATCAGTGGTGTGGTGCTCTTCCATTAGGAAGCACCCAATGTCTGATTTTCTTTCTTTTTTTGTGTTGGCAAGCATTGATAAAGTCTAGAGCCATTAGGTAATCAATTTTGATATTAATCAAAACATGCAATTCTGGAATCATTCCAACTTCGGTCATAATTGCTTTTTATTTTTGTATGTTAATGTTTTAATATATTGATTAGGATGTTTGTATCTGTGTTTAATGATAAGATGATTTAATAATTAACTGGTTTTGTTTCCTTTGGTGTTCTCTAGAGAGCACCTTCCACCTTGGACATGAGCTTAGGTCTATCTGCGGCTCCTGTGTATAGAAATGCTGAGCTTTAGAAGCTGGGCCTTTTAGTCCCACTCTCTTACACCTCCTTCCATGGTACCTGGGGCATTGGCATTCCCACAGAATCTCTCATGATACCACATCTTGGTCAACAGACTCCCTGTTGATCAATGCCAGCTTCTTCAAGTTCTCAAATAGGATGAACATTATGATGGGAATAAGAAAGAGTGGTCGAGTAGTGGGAGGACAACATCCCAACTACTCACCCCAAAAATGCTCTAGGTATCCTGGAGTTAGAGGTTAGTGAAGCAATGATGTGTATCAAAAAGAGCCTTGAATTAGCAGTAGACAGACTGGGTTTGGAGGAACCACAGATTTGGGGTCTCCTGTTAGTTCATCTTTAGGTTACAGAGGTTAAATCAGATAGTTTAAACATCCCTTTCAGCTCTAGAATTCAAGACTTAAACTCCAAAAGTCAAGTTAACTATTTCCTTTGATGCATCATCCCCTTGAAATTCTAGCCAAGGGATAGCCATAGAATTATTAAAAAGAAGAAGAAAAAACCCACAGAACTCAGAAAGACTATAAAAACATCTAGCGCAGGTTCCTATTTTACAAATGGGGACCATGAAACTAGGCAGGCTTCCTCAATGGGGAGTTTGACAGGAATCTGTATGTAGGTCCTCCTCGAAGTTTCTGCAATCTTGGCAGCTCCTGTTTTGTTTTTGTTTTTTAAATAATAAAGATAGAACTAATATCTTTGTTCTATCTTCCAATTTCCCAGCTGCCCTCAGACAGACTTGCTTTCAGACAGCCCCATTCTTGAAAGCAATGGGCGACTGGGAGACAGAATCATAAAATTTGAGAGCTGGGATACAAATGGCAGATCATTCAGTCTGCCCTTTCCTGTAGATCATTGCAGCCTGTGGTCCATGGAAGGTGTTTACCCAAGCTTAGTAGGTGGGTAGTGTGGGAACTGGGACCAGAACTGAGCTCTCCAGACCTGAGGGTCCTGTCCCTCATCTGCAATGAACCTCCATTTCTTGTCTCTGCAGCCCCTGACCCTATTTCCTCTAAAGGGAATCACGCTGTGGTTCCTCAAGCTAATGCCAGCCAGGCTCCATGTTCAGCCCTTCTGTTCCCTCCCCTCACCCCAGGGGTATCATCCTCTATTTGTCCCTCACTAAATTGTCTCTCATAGGAGAGGGGAAGTGGGGGGATTGATCAAAACTTTTAAAGCACCTTGTAACTTTCATAAAAATTGCAAGTGAAATTTTATCTCCAGATTTTGGGAGAAAGATATATTTTCCTTTTCCAGAGTCCTGAGAACCGTACTGTAGTGATAAATGGAAATCCAGCAATCTTTTATTTTAAATATTTATTCTTCAACAAACTATTTACATCGATGATATCTCAGTTTTGAAAAGGTTTCTAGTGAGCTATTTAATTTTTTTTTCTTAAAAAAATAAGGTGCTTTATTATTCTAAGCAGTGGGACATTTCCTATTGCTTTGAACCTGGGGAGAAAACCAACAACTCAGGCCCCATTCAGTCAAGTCTGATTTCTGGGCGGAGGAAAGACACTTTGTGTAATAATACATTTTTTAGTTTTTATCTTTGTCAAAAGTGTATAAGGCAAATCATATCATCAAATAAGTACTACTTATAATAAATTTATTTATATTTATTAAATAATGTTTATATGAGAAATTATTGTATTATATAATTATGGCACATGAAATTATTAAATTGTCAGAAGAATTCGAGACAAGGAAGTACTTCTGGCATATCATGAACAGTTTCCTGGACCCAGTTTCTTACTTGTAAAGTGAGAGGGTTGAGATGATCTCTGAAGTCCAGAGCCAACATCCTATACTACAATACATTTCCCTTCATAGTGCAAAAAATGGCAGCACTATTATTATGCCATGGGTATTTTTAACATTCAACTTCTAACTTTTTGTTATTTCAAGAAAATTTCAATGTTTTGTATATTAAAAAATCTGCAAGGGATCATCAAAAAGAGCTTTTACCAACATAGAAAAATCCACATACCATAAATCATGGAGAATGTAGCATAATGTTGATACTGAATAGATGGCATTTTTTTTTTTTTTTTTTGAGATGGAGTCTTGCGCTGTTGCCCAGGCTACAGTGCAGTGGTGCGACCTCGGCTCAGTGCAATCTCTGCCTCCCAGGTTCAAGAGATTCTCGTGCCTCAGCCTCCCAAGTAGCTGGAATTACAGACACATGCCACCATGCCTGGCTAATTTTTGTATTTTTAGTAGACGAGGTTTCACCATATTGGCCAGGCTGGTCTCAAACCCCTGACCTCAACTGATCTGCCCATCTTGGCCTCCCAAAGTACTGAGATTACAGGTATGAGCCACCATGCTCATAAAAGCCCAATAGATGGCTTTTATATAATGGGATGTGTAGTCTCGAGGATCACTGGGATAGAAAGATCGGTGAAGACAGGAGACATCCATGCTCAGTGAAACCTAAGCACATTGGTCAGCGAGAATGAAGGACCCCTGAAGCCTTGCCCTCCAACTCACCTTCCAACTGAGAAACAGCAGATATATTTCATAAGACCCAGCCCATTCCCCCAAGTCATCTCTAATTCTAGCTTTCTGTAGGTACCTGAACATGAATTCTACATGCCTTCAGCTTTTAATGTTTTCCCCCAAGACTGCTAATAGATTAGTTATGACTATGGCAAAAATCTATACCTCCCAGCTAAATTAACCCCTCATTATGCAGGTCTCTGAGTACAAGGTCAAAAACAGGATCACTAATTCCATTGAAATTAAAATGCTAATCGAGTTACAGTTCTGCAGTTAGCATAGAAAGATAGTAGAAGGCTAAACAACCTTCCTTAGGCTGTGAGACAACCAAGGAACTCTACTATGTGGATTTCCGCTCATGTAAATGACAGCTTGCTAATTAAAAGACCCATTCTCCTGGCCTTCCAGATGCTAGTCTTAGAAAAAGTCATGGGGGCCGGGTGCGGTGGCTCACGCCTGCAATCCCAGCACTTTGGGAGGCCGAGGCTGGTGGATTACCTGAGGTCGGGCGTTTGAGGCGAGTCTGACCAACATGGAGAAACCTCCTCTCTAATAAAAATACAACAAACTAGCTGGGCGTGGTGGTGCATGCCTGTAATCCCAGCTACTCGCCGAGGCAGGAGAATCACTTGAACCTGGGAGGCGGAGGTTGCAGTGAGCCGAGATCGCGCCATTGCACTCCAGCCTGGGCAAGAAGAGCGAAACTCCGTCTCAAAAGAAAGAAAGAAAGAGAGAGAGAGAAGAGAGAGAAGAGAGAAGAGAGAGAGAGGAGGGAGGGAGGGAGGGAGGGAGGGAGAGAGAGAGAGAGAAAGAAAGGGAAGGAAAGGAAGGAAAGGAAGAAAGAAGTCATGAGAGGATGCTCCAGTGTGAGCTGGCCAGGGACCTAGGGGTATTTTGCTCCTAGAAGCCAAAGAGACCTCAGCAAGGGAGAGACTGGGTGGGGTCCACCCGAATGGAGCCACTGAGCGTGTTTTCCCCTTCCACCTAATTTTATGGCCAAATCACCAATTCTGAGTTGAGATTCTTTCTCTGAGAACTCTAATCAAATATATATAATTAACTCTCGGATCTTGGGGTTCAATATTTTTAAAACTGAGAGAAGAAACGTATGACTTGTCTATCAGACTATAAGACTAGAGGTGGCAGAAAGGGTGAACTTTATGTCAAATCGATTTTACTTCCATGGGATATTCAAGAGAAAAAACCAAAACAAAAGAAAATAGATGTTTGTGCTCACTCTTAAAGTTTGAGAAAAAAAAATACTTGTGAATGAAGTTCAATTTATAATGTGATTACCAAAAAACAAACCAAAACACGTGTTGATCTTTTCACAATTTTAAATTTATCTGAATGAAATCTGCTTTAATAGTAATCTGTTGATTGACCTGACTGGAAGAAATTCAGGGGCAGGAATCACTTCTAGTTGCAGAATTTTTCTAGTTGCATTAGTTTAAAAAATTTTTTAAAGGGTTTTATTATATGTAAGAAATGAGACTGGGCACGGTGGCTCACGACTGTAATCCCAGCACTTTGGGAGGCTGAGGCGGGCAGATCACATGGTCAAGAGATCGAGACCATCCTGGCCAACATGGTGAAACCCCGTCTCTACTAAAAATACAAAAAAAATTAGCTGGGCATGGTGGCGCGTGCATGTAGTCCCAGCTACTCGGGAGGCTGAGGCAGGAGAATCTCTTCAACCCGGGAGGCAGAGGTTGCAGTGAGCTAAGATCAAGCCACTCCACTCCAGCCTGGCGACAAACCAAGACCCTGTCTCAAAAAAAAAAAAAAAAAAAAAAGATCTGAATAGTCCTAACAGCATATTCCCAGTTTCTCATTTCAGGGCTATTTAGCTTCTAGTTATAAAATGGACAATTTTTGTTAAAATAAATGCTGCTATTTATTTTGCAAACTTACAAAATACAAGCAATTATTAGACTGTGGACTTAGACCCTTAGAGAAATCGGTGTAAGAAATGGGTAGTGTGTGTATATGTAGACACACACACACACTGCTCTTCTAGATTATATATTATAATAGTAAAATATAGTAAATAGCAAAAATATGTTATAGTAAAATGCTATATACTATATAGTATATATTTTATTATAATTTATATATTTTTATACTTAAAATATGTAGTATACTGTATATTATATACGTGTGTGTGTGTGTGTGTGTGTGTGTACGTACACATGTTGGCTTAGAGATGACAAATGACTTTCACAAATAATACATCACCTGTGCCAGGGAATATTCAAGTACTCGTAGACATAGTATCTCATGGCTGGACACAATGGCTCACACCTATAATCCCAGCACTTTGGGAGGCCGAGGTGGGTGGATCACTTGAGCCCAAGAGTTTGAGAACAGCCTGGGCAACATGGCAAAACCCCATCTCTACCAAAAAAAATGCAAAAATTAGTCAGATGTGGTGGTGCATGCCTGTGGTCCCAGCTACTCGGGAGGCTGAGGTGGGAGGATCACCTGAGCCCAGGAGGTTGAGGCTGCAGTGAACTGAGATCGTGTTACTGCACTCCAGCTTGGATGACAGAGTGTGACTCTGTCTGAAGGAAAAAAAAAAAAGAAAAAGAAATATATTTCATTTTTCCTATCCCAAACCTTGTCAAGTAGATATTATTAACCCTCTTTGCTGGATGAATACATTGAGGCTTAGAGAGATTATGTATATTTTCCAAATCTCCCAACTAGTCCGTAGCAGATCTGGGTCCAGAACCTAAGACTTCAAATTCTAAATGGCATAACTTAAATAAAATCAGCTTCATTTGGCTGGGCACTGTGGCTCATGCCTGTAATCCCAGCACTTTGGGAGGCTAAGGCAGGTGGATCACCTGAGGTCAGGAGTTCGAGACCAGCCTGGCCAACATGGTGAAACCTTGTCTCTGCTAAAAATACAAAAATTAGCCAGGTGTGGTGGCACACGCCTATAATCCCAGCTACTTGGGAGGCGGAGGCAGAAGAATCGCTTGAACTGGGGAGACAGAGGTTGCAGTGAGCTGAGATCACACCATTGCATTCCAGCCTGGGTGACAGAGCTAGACTCCATCTCAAAAAATAAATAAATAAATAAATAATCAACTGCATTTCTTCCTAGTTTTCTCCTGTCTACTTTTGTGGAAATGATGGAAGAACTTGAGACAAATGACCTGTAGATGGATAGTAGTGTTGTTTCTGCCCAATGGATGGTGGAACAGAACAGAAGCCAGAGAGAGAGGAGGGGTCGGGAGGAGGCCTGGAAATGTGGAAGAGAAAATACTCTGTAATGGAACATTGTTCTCAATATCATGGGGCCCTTTGAGGCTTGGAGCTAGCCTTTTAAGGGAAACACATTTGTCTTATATTTGATCATGAGATTGATTCTTTTTCTTTTAAGTTCTGATGTAAAGTTTGAAAATTGGGATTTGAAACCAGGAAAAAAAAAACTACATTACTGTTATTTATGAGCTTTCTGAAGCATTATGTTCAAATTTCCATGGTTGACTGGTAATAATAAAAGGGAGGTCAACGTTATCAGTGAAAGGCAATTCGTGTGTGTGTGAGAGTGTGTGTGTATGCTGTGGTGTGTGTGTGCGCATGTGTGTGTGTCTGTGTTTGAGGGTGGTATGTGTTTGTGTATGCATAAGTGCATGTGTGTGTGTCTAGGTGTGAAGGTGGTATGTGTATGCCTATGATATGGTATGTGTGTGTCTTGTGAACCCAAAAGTATCTGAGACAGATCTCAAACAATTTAGAAAGTTTATTTTGCCAAGGCTAAGGACACACTGGTGACACAGCCTCAGGGGGTCCTGATGACATGTGCACAAGGTGGTCAGGGAACAACTTGGTTTTATACATTTTAGGGAGATATGACACATCAATCAATACATGTAAGATGTACATTGGTTTGGTCGGGAAAGGCAGGACAACTCAAGGCAGGAGAGGGAGCTTCCAGGTCATAGGTAGATAAGAGAAAAAGGGTTGCATTCTTTTGAGTCTCTGATTAGCCTTTCACTGAATACACAAGATACAGGAATAGTCACTTATGTCTTAGTCTGGCTTAGTGAAATGATAGAACAGAAAAGCCACTGGGTATGCATTTGTCCCAGGTGAGCAGAGGGGTGACTTTGAGTTCTGTCTCTCCTTTGTTCACAAGGAATTTTCTTGTGGGGAAATTGTAAGGGAGGTATGTGACTTTTTTACCTTTGTAGATATCTTATTTAGGAATAAAATGAGAGGCAGGTTTGCCTGACATAGTTTCCAGCTTGACTTTTCCCTTTGGCTTCGTGATTTGGGGGTCCCAAGATTTACTCTCCTTTCACAGCCTGGGCATGAGTGCATGTGTGGTTCTGTGGGTGAGGGTGATGTGAGTATAGTGTGAGTGTGCCTGTGTGTGAAGGTAGTGTGTGTCTGTGTGTGAAAGTAGTGTGTGTGTGTCTGTGTGTGAAGGTGGTGTGTGTGTTGTAGTGTGTGTCTATGTATGAGGACAGTGTACTGGGAACACTTGGGCCGGAAGGGAGGAGGTGGTTGGATCATGCCTGAAGGATGTGAACAGTGGCAGCTCCAGTTTTCAAAGGCAGGCAATTGAATCAGGGAGGACAGATGGCACGCAGGGGAGGGCACAACAAGATCAGGAGGAGATTGCCTGGGCAAGGTCCCCCATTTCTTTCATTGCCTTCTTTTCTCAGGCAGGAATGGTCTCACGGGGAGCACAAGAAGGAAGCCAGCCAGATCAGCCCCATTCATGCTGGTGATCAGTGGAGTTACTAGAAGTCACTCTCAGATTGTCTTCACAGCCTACATCCTGCAGCCCGCAGAAATCCACATGCTCTTGACAGTAAAAAGGGCCTTCGAATAGCTTCCTAGAGCCTAGTCAAATAAAGTCCATTGAAAATGTATTCAAGGTAAAAATCATGACCACACTAGCAAGCTAATATGCCCATTCTGGGCCAGGTCCTTTGCTTATCCATATACCCACGCTGCAAGGTAGAAGTCACTGTTCTTTACTATAAATGGGAAAACAAGTCTCAAAGCAGTAAGTGACTTGGCCATAGCCAAGCTTTGGTAGCTCTCTGACAGTGTATACCCTTTCCATCTGGCTCTGGCCCCCTAGGGGCTCTGGCATTGGTGGTGGAGGATCTGGTCAGCAGGGGCTATAGGGCCTTTGGGCACAGTGGAACCCAAAAAAAGTAACAGCCATGCCCAACATGGGCAACTCTCCCTAGAAATGACGCGTCTACCCAGAAGAGGCCATGACGTCATCCAGATGCCACACAGTAATTGTTTGGGAGCACACGTATAAGTCACTTGCAGAACCCCCCCAAATAGTCTTGGGGGAGCCATTGCAGGGGGCTTGGGTCTTGCACCTACAGGCCTCAGTGAGAGTCAGCAAAATATGGGCACTTAGTGCCAAACTACCATTTTTAAACAAAGCTAAGTTACTCTCAGAAAACTCGAAAGAAAAGTCATTGTGCCTCATAACAACATAAAATAGCACACGCCGAGTCAATGCACTTTTAGAAAAGTCCAGAGAATGGTGCAAAGTGTTATTTATCTCATGAGTCACCAATCAGTGCATTCAGAGCCAGCATCAGTGTGCACCTGAGAGGCCCGTCTACATTTGTCTCCCTCCATTTCTCTTTCCTCCCTGCTTCTCTCATCCCAGTGTCCTGGCTCCATCTAGCAGGTGCCTCATGTCGTGAAGGTTGTGAAGACTTCACTCCTGGCTCTATCCTAGAAGAGATAGTGCCTTCTGAGAGCCACAGAAGGTGCTTCATTTTTTTTTTTTTTAAGACAGAGTCTCACTCTAACACCCAGGCTGGAGGGCAGTGGTGCAATCTCGGCTCACTGCAACCTCCACCTCCTGGGTTAAAGTGATTCTCCTGCCTCAGCCTCCTGAGTAGCTGGGATTACAGGCATGCACCACCATGCCCAGTTAATTTTTTGTATTTTCTTTTTTAGTAGAGATGGGGTTTCACCATGCTGGCCAGGCTTGTCTCGAACTCCTGACCTTGTGATCCACCTGCCTCGCCCCACCCAAGTCCTGAGATTACAGGCATGAGCCACCGTGCCCAGCCCATATTCTATAGAGTGGCCTATCCACAGCATAGGAATCACTTGGGATCTTGTTAAGATACAGACTTTGATTCAGTAGGTTTGGGGTGGGACCCAAGGGCCTACATTTCTATCAAGCACCCATGTGATGCCAATGTTGCTGGTCTGTTGTCCACACTTTGAGCAAAAGTCATCAAAAAGACAAGGAAAATTGTGTCTTGCTGATGCTGATTGCCATTTATTGCATAACTTTAGATCACCAGCGTATGGAAAGAAACAAAAGGAAGGAAGAATGAGAATGGCATCCTGCCACACACAGCGAGACACATGGCACACTTGAAATAATGTTCAAGTACAATGATAGTGTTGTTCTACCATGATTAATGCACCTCTGTCCCTCCCCAACCAGTAGGATGATGGTGGAACTCATTCCTAGAAGTGGTGGGTGAAAGCTCATTCTGGCTTTGGTCCGGGCCCCGGGCTTCTGCATCCCCTCCAGTGCATGTCTCATGGTGGCTCCTGTTGGCCTAATCAAGCTTGCATGACTCGATATACAAGTCACAAATGTTTCTCTTTTCATGCTTGCAATCATTGAGATTGCATTCTCTGAAATAAAGGTTTCACCAACTTTATTTCTATTGACTTACTATTTCTGTTCATAATTGTTCACTGCACAATTTATTCCATTGAGAAAGGTACACCTCTCCTTTAGTATGAAAATACTCACAAAAAGAATGGAATAAGCCTGATAGAAAATGACTGCAACAAAAAGCCTATTATTGACCATGTAAGCCCTCCTGTTTTTATGCAATTAGGATGGTGTCTGCACTTTTCTTAGAAGCCTTTATTTGGTGATTGTTTCTTATGCCTCACCATTAAAACGCTCCTCTCCCAAAGCAATTATAGTTTCAGAATCTATCTGCTTGCCACCTTATTAGGCTATTGCTATTTGAGCACACAGTACTTCACTTGTTTGATTCATTCACATGTAGGTTATTTCAACATGGAGTGTGTGGAGTGATGGGAGGCACCCCATGTCCCGGGAAGAACAATTGTGGATTTTTGCCTTTTAATTTGCATTTAATCACTTGAGCATGAGGTGAAGAACAGTCAATGATATTTCAATGATAATACACATTTAGAGGCTAACAGAGTGAGAAAAGAAAAGAAAATTGGCTTAACTCTGTAACAGTACTATTGATTATGGTTATTGAAGCTCAATTACCGTGCAGCTCAACAGTAAACAGGCTTATGCTTATATACATGTCCACGTATTGTTAAATATTAGATGCCAGTGTACATTTTATTTGGCTCACACAGTGAACTATGTCCAAGTGCAAATTATGAGCCTCAAGTAGTGAGATTAATGCCCCAAAGCACATGAGATGCATTTTGTATGCTCAATGTCTTCCTTCTTTTGGCAGACTTTTCAATTATTTACGTCACTTAGAATAACGGTTGAAGGAGGAGCCAAGATGGCCGAATAGGAAGCGTTCCAGCCTACAGCTCCCAGCATGAGTGACACAGAAGACGGGTGATTTCTGCATTTCCATCTGAGGTACTGGGTTCATCTCACTAGGGAGTGCCAGACAGTGGGCACAGGTCAGTGGGTGCACGCACCGTGCGCGAGCCGAAGCAGGGCGAGGCATTGCCTCACTTGGGAAGCGTAAGGGCTCAGGGAGTTCCCTTTCCTAGTCAAAGAAAGGGGTGACAGATGGCACCTGGAAAATCGGGTCACTCCCACCCGAATACTGTGCTTTTCCAACGGGCTTAAAAAATGGCACACCAGGAGATTATATCCCACACTTGGCTCAGAGGGTCCTATGCCCATGGAGTCTCGCTGATTGCTAGCACAGCAGTCTGAGATCAAACTGCAAGGTGGCAGCGAGGCTGGGGGAGGGGCTTTGCCATTGCCCAGGCTTGCTTAGGTAAACAAAGCAGCCGGGAAGCTCGAACTGGGTGGAGCCCACCACAGCTCAAGGAGGCCTGCCTGCCTCTGTAGGCTCCATCTCTGGGGGCAGGGCACAGACAAACAAAAAGACAGCAGTAACCTCTGCAGACTTAAATGTCCCTGTCTGACAGCTTTGAAGAGAGCAGTGGTTCTCCCGGCATGCAGCTGGAGATCTGAGAATGGGCAGACTGCCTCCTCAAGTGGGTCCCTGACCCTGACCTCCGAGCAGCCTAACTGGGAGGCACCCCCCAGCAGGGGCAGACTGACACCTCACACGGTTGGGTACTCCAACAGACCTGCAGCTGAGGGTCCTGTCTGTTAGAAGGAAAACTACAAACAGAAAGGACACCCACACCAAAAACCCATCTGTACATCACCATCATCAAAGACCAAAAGTAGATAAAACCACAAAGATGGGGAAAAAACAGAGCAGAAAAACTGGAAACTCTGAAAAGCAGAGCACCTCTCCTCCTCCAAAGGAACGCAGTTCCTCACCAGCAACGGAACAAAGCTGAACGGAGAATGACTTTGATGAGCTGAGAGAAGAAGGCTTCAGAAGATCAAATTACTCCGAGCTAGGGGAGGACATTCAAACCAAAGGCAAAGAAGTTGAAAACTTTGAAAAAAATTTAGAAGAATGTATAACTAGAATAACCAATACAGAGAAGTGCTTAAAGGAGCTGATGGAGCTGAAAACCAAGGCTCGAGAACTACGTGAAGAATGCAGAAGCCTCAGGAGCCGATGCGATCAACTGGAAGAAAGGGTATCAGCGATGGAAGATGAAATGAATGAAATGAAGCGAGAAGGGAAGTTTAGAGAAAAAAGAATAAAAAGAAACAAGCAAAGCCTCCAAGAAATAAGGGACTAAGTGAAAAGACCAAATCTACGTCTAATTGGTGTACCTGAAAGTGATGGGGAGAATGGAACCAAGTTGGAAAACACTCTGCAGGATATTATCCAGGAGAACTTCCCCAATCTAGCAAGGCAGGCCAATATTCAGATTCAGGAAATACAGAGAATGCTGCAAAGATACTCCTCGAGAAGAGCAACTCTAAGACATATAATTGTCAGATTCACCAAAGTTGAAATGAAGGAAAAAATGTTAAGGGCAGTCAGAGAGAAAGGTCAGGTTACCCTCAAAGGGAAGCCCATCAGACTAACAGCGGATCTCTCGGCAGAAACCCTACAAGCCAGAAGAGAGTGGGGGCCAATATTCAACATTCTTAAAGAAAAGAATTTTCAACCCAGAATTTCAAATCTAGCCAAACTAAGCTTCACAAGTGAAGGAGAAATAAAATCCTTTACAGACAAGCAAATGCTGAGAGATTTTGTCACCACCAGGCCTGCCCTAAAAGAGCTCCTGAAGGAAGCGCTAAACATGGAAAGGAACAACCAATACCAGCTGCTGCAAAATCATGCCAAAATGTAAAGACCATCGAGACTAGGAAGAAACTGCATCAACTAACGAGCAAAATAACCAGCTAACATCATAATAACAGGATCAAATTCACACATAACAATATTAACCTTAAATGTAAATGGACTAAATGCTCCAATTAAAAGACACAGACTGGCAAATTGGATAAAGAGTCAAGATCCATTAGTGTGCTGTATTCAGGAAACCCATCTCACATGCAGAGACACACATAGGCTCAAAATAAAAGGATGGAGGAAGATCTACCAAGCAAATGGAAAACAAAAAAAGGCAGGGGTTGCAATCCTAGTCTCTGATAAAACACTTTAAACCAACAAAGATCAAAAGAGACAAAGAAGGCCATTACATAATGGCAAAGGGATCAATTCAACAAGAAGAGCTAACTATCCTAAATATATATGCACCCAATACAGGAGCACCCAGATTCATAAAGCAAGTCCTGAGTGACCTACAAAGAGACTTAGACTCCCACACATTAATAATGGGAGACTTTAACACCCCACTCTCAACATTAGACAGATCAACGATACAGAAAGTCAACAAGGACACCCAGGAATTGAACTTAGCTCTGCACCAAGCAGACCTAATAGACATCTACAGAACTCTCCACCCCAAATCAACAGAATATACATTTTTTTCAGCACCACACCACACCTATTCCAAAATTGACCACATACTTGGAAGTAAAGCTCTCCTCAGCAAATGTAAAAGAACAGAAATTATAACAAACTATCTCTCAGACCACAGTGCAATCAAACTAGAACTCAGGATTAAGAATCTCACTCAAAACCGCTCAACTACATGGAAACTGAACAACCTGCTCCTGAATGACTACTGGGTACATAACGAAATGAAGGCAGAAATAAAGATGTTCTTTGAAACCAACGAGAACAAAGACACAACATACCAGAATCTCTGGGATGCATTCAAAGCAGTGTGTAGAGGGAAATTTATAGCACTAAATGCCCACAAGAGAAAGCAGGACAGATCCAAAATTGACACCCTAACATCACAATTAAAAGAACTAGAAAAGCAAGAGTAAACACATTCAAAAGCTAGCAGAAGGCAAGAAATAACTAAAATCAGAGCAGAACTGAAGGAAATCGAGACACAAAAAACCCTTCAAAAAATTAATGAATCCAGGAGCTGGTTTTTTGAAAGGATCAACAAAATTGATAGACCGCTAGCAAGACTAATAAAGAAAAAAAGAGAGAAGAATCAAATAGATGCAATAAAAAATGATAAAGGGGATATCACCACCAATCCCACAGAAATACAAACTACCATCAGAGAATACTACAAACATCTCTATGCAAAGAAACTAGAAAATCTAGAAGAAATGGATAAATTCCTCGACACATACACCCTCCCAAGACTAAACCAGGAAGAAGTTGAATCTCTGAATAGACCAATAACAGGATCTGAAATTGTGGCAATAATCAATACCTTACCAACCAAAAAGAGTCCAGGACCAGATGGATTCACAGCCGAATTCTACCAGAGGTACAAGGAGGAACTGGTACCATTCCTTCTGAAACTATTCCAATCAATAGAAAAAGAGGGAATCCTCCCTAGCTCATTTTATGAGGCCAGCATCATCCTGATACCAAAGCCGGGCAGAGACACAACCAAAAAAGAGAATTTTAGACCAATATCCTTAATGAACATTGATGCAAAAATCCTCAATCAAATACTGGCAAACCGAATCCAGCAGCACATCAAAAAGCTTATCCACCATGATCAAGTGGGCTTCATCCCTGGGATGCAAGGCTGGTTCAATATACGCAAATCAATAAATGTAATCCAGCATATAAACAGAACCAAAGACAAAAACCACATGATTATCTCAATAGATGCAGAAAAGGCCTTTGACAAAATTCAACAACCCTTCATGCTAAAAACTCTCAAGAAATTAGGTATTGATGGGACGTATTTCAAAATAATAAGAGCTATCTATGACAAACCCACAGCCAATATCATACTGAATGGGCAAAAACTGGAAGCATTCCCTTTGAAAACTGGGACAAGACAGGGATGCCCTCTCTCACCACTCCTATTCAACATAGTGTTGGAAGTTCTGGCCAGGACAATCAGGCAGGAGAAGGAAATAAAGGGCATTCAATTAGGAAAAGAGGAAGTCAAATTGTCCCTGTTTGCAGATGACATGATTGTATATCTAGAAAACCCCATTGTCTCAGCCCAAAATCTCCTTAAGCTGATAAGCAACTTCAGCAAAGTCTCAGGATACAAAATCAATGCACAAAAACCACAAGCATTCTTATACACCAATAACAGACAAACACAGAGCCAAATCATGAGTGAACTCCCATTCACAATTGCTTCAAAGAGAATAAAATACCTAGGAATCCAACTTACAAGGGATGTGAAGGACCTCTTCAAGGAGGACTACAAACCACTGCTCAAGGAAATAAAAGAGGATACAAACAAATGGAAGAACATTCCATGCTCATGGGTAGGAAGAATCAATATCGTGAAAATGGCCATACTGCACAAGGTAATTTACAGATTCAATGCCATCCCCATCAAGCTACCAATGACTTTCTTCACAGAACTGGAAAAAACTACTTTAAAGTTCACATGGAACCAAAAAAGAGCCCGCATCACCAAGTCAATCCTAAGCCAAAAGAACAAAGCTGGAGGCATCACACTACCTGACTTCAAACTATACTACAAGGCTACAGTAACCAAAACAGCATGGTACTGGTACCAAAACAGAGATATAGATCAATGGAACAGAACAGAGCCTTCAGAAATAACGCCGCATATCTACAACTATCTGATCTTTGACAAACCTGACAAAAACAAGCAATGGGGAAAGGATTCCCTATTTAATAATAAATGGTGCTGGGAAAACTGGCTAGCCATATGTAGAAAGCTGAAACTGGATCCCTTCCTTACACCTTATACAAAAATCAATTCAAGATGGATTAAAGACTTAAACGTTAGACCTAAAACCATAAAAACCCTAGAAGAAAACCTAGGCATTACCATTCAGGACATAGGCATGGGCAAGGACATCAAGTCTAAAACACCAAAAGCAATGGCAACAAAAGCCAAAATTGACAAATGGGATCTAATTAAACTAAAGAGATTCTGCACAGCAAAAGAAACTACCATCAGAGTGAACAGGCAACCTACAAAATGGGAGAAAATTTTCACAACCTACTCATCTGACAAAGAGCTAATATCCAGAATCTACAATGAACTCAAACAAATTTACAAGAAAAAAACAAACAACCCCATCAAAAAGTGGGCAAAGGATATGAACAGACACTTCTCAAAAGAAGACATTTATGCAGCCAAAAAACACATGAAAAAATGTTCATCATCACTGGCCATCAGAGAAATGCAAATCAAAACCACAATGAGATACCATCTCACACCAGTTAGAATGGCGATCATTAAAAAGTCAGGAAACAACAGGTGCTGGAGAGGATGTGGAGAAATAGGAAGACTTTTACACTGTTGGTGGGACTGTAAACTAGTTCAACCATTGTGGAAGTCAGTGTGGCGATTCCTCAGGGATCTAGAACTAGAAATACCATTTGACCCAGCCATCCCATTACTGGGTATATACCCAAAGGACTATAAATCATGCTGCTATAAAGACATATGCACACGTATGTTTATTGAGGCACTATTCACTATAGCAAAGACTTGGAACCAACCCAAATGTCCAACAATGATAGACTGGATTAAGAAAATGTGGCACATATACACCATGGAATACTACGCAGCCATAACAAATGATGAGTTCATGTCCTTTGTAGGGACATGGATGAAATTGGAAATCATCATTCTCAGTAAATTATCGCAAGAACAAAAAACCAAACACTGCATATTCTCACTCATAGGTGGGAATTGAACAATGAGAACACATGGACACAGGAAGGGGAACATCACACTCTGGGGACTGTTGTGGGGTGGGGGGAGGGGGGAGGGATGGCATTGGGAGATATACCTAATGCTAGATGATGAGTTAGTGGGTGTAGCGCACCAGCGTGGCACATGTATACATATGTAACTAACCTGCACATTGTGCACATGTACCCTAAAACTTAAAGCATAATAATAATAAATTTAAAAAAAAGCTTAAGAATATAAACTTGTAGTTTTTAAATCACAAAAAAAAAAAAAAAAAAGAATAATGGTTATTGTCCTACTGCCCTTAGGAACATGGTCTGAATGCCCAGAGCAACATCCCATTTCCCAGTGTGACTCCACCATTGTTTTCATTCCTTCCTGGCTACAGCCCTGAACTTGGGGCCTTGCACAATAGTTCCTTCCCTCTCTCTGAAACGTTTCTGCCCCAATCTTTGCTTTCTACTGCTCTTCCAGGTCTTTGCTTTAGATGGCCCTCTTCTTCTTCTTCCTTTCCTCCCTGAAACTGGACTACATGCTCCTTTATATGCTTCTTATACTTGATACTTTCCCTCTCTTAAAATGTTCATATTCTATTGACCTTGACATTACATTGTTCCCTTCCAGACAATGACTTACTTAGGCATAGGGAGTTCATTTCATTCATTGTCATATCCTCCATGTTTAGTACAGTGCATGGCACTTAATAAGACCCAATAAATATTTGTTAAGGAATACATGAGACAGCAAGTCCTGTTCTGCTGTTTGGCCCACAGCACATTGCTTCTTCCTGCCACAGAAGAGAAGGACAGTCTGGTTGGAATAAGTCATTTTCAAGAATATTGTGATTAGGCCGGACACAGTGGCTCACGCCTGTAATCCCAGCACTTTGGGAGGCCGAGGTGGGTGGATCACCTGAGGTTGGGAGTTTGAGACCAACCTGACCAACATGGAGAAACCCCGTCTCTATTAAAAACACAAAATTAGCTGGGCGTGGTGGTGCATGCCTGTAATCCCAGCTGCTTGGGAGGCTGAGGCAAGAGAATCACTTGAACCCAGGAGGCGGAGGTTGCAGTGAGCTGAGATCATTCCATGGCACTCCAGCCCGGGCAACAAGAGTGAAACTCTGTCTCAAAAAGAAAAAAAAAAAAAAGAATATTGTGATTAATGTCCACAACTGTACTAAACTTTGGCCAATTTTCTTTTCTTTATAAATCAACATCAATTCTGATTATATCCACAGTCTTCTTTTTTTTCTTGCATAATAAAATCCTTTACTATTGTTTCCTCGTCAGTTTTTGAGTATAAGAGCAAATTAAAATGGCTTCGCTTTATTTTGAAATGCCAGAGTAGATTGAATACTATGAAGACATATTATAAATTAATTTCTTTTTTTTTTCTTTTATTATTATACTTTAAGTTTTAGGGTACATGTGCACATTGTGCAGGTTAGTTACATATGTATACATGTGCCACGCTGGTGCGCTGCACCCACTAACTCATCATCTAGCATTAGGTATATCTCCCAATGCCATCCCTCCCCCCTCCCCCCACCCCACAACAGTCCCCAGAGTGTGATGTTCCCCTTCCTGTGTCCATGTGATCTCATTGTTCAATTCCCACCTATGAGTGAGAATATGCAGTGTTTGGTTTTTTGTTCTTGCGATAATTTACTGAGAATGATGATTTCCAATTTCATCCATGTCCCTACAAAGGACATGAACTCATCATTTGTTATGGCTGCATAGTATTCCATGGTGTATATGTGCCACATTTTCTTAATCCAGTCTATCATTGTTGGACATTTGGGTTGGTTCCAAGTCTTTGCTATAGTGAATAGTGCCTCAACAAACATACGTGTGCATGTGTCTTTATAGCAGCATGATTTATAGTCCTTTGGGTATATACCCAGTAATGGGATGGCTGGGTCAAATGGTATTTCTAGTTCTAGATCCCTGAGGAATCGCCACACTGACTTCCACAATGGTTGAACTAGTTTACAGTCCCACCAACGGTGTAAAAGTGTTCCTATTTCTCCACATCCTCTCCAGCACCTGTTGTTTCCTGACTTTTAATTAAATAGCAGAGTTAGTTTAAAGCTCCTGAGTCCAGAGTTTCCTTTCATTCATCATGATAGTATTTGGTCTATAGTAAGCTCCTAGTAAATTCAAGTTGTTAGCTTTATAACCTCATCCTTGATCTTTTTCCCCAATCCACTCCTTCCTCTTCAAACACTGACCTTAGGAAAATTGACTTCAAACTCAAAAGGGGCTAGAAGACAGAGCACTGAGATTTCATTCATTTCTAAGAACGGGTTAGGTGCTCCTCCCCTCCCATGTGCACAGGCTTCAGCCTTTCTTCTTAAGCTTCAAGTCAGCTCAACAAGTGGTTGTTGTCCACCCTCTGTGTACTTGGAACTGTATTAGGCTAATCTACAGCTTCTCAGGTGATTACAAAAAATCTATGATGCTGCCAGTTATTAAGCAGCTTCAAAGTCTATCTGTAATTACTCCCTTAGGGGCTGGTATGCAGTGTTTCCATAAACTCATGTTCTTACCACTGGTTTCTAGGCCCTTACATATGCATTACTGCCACATCGCTGATCAACTTGTTCTCTCTTTGGTTGCAGAATAGAAAGCATGAACCACTGGGAATAGACATTGACAGCTTATACAGTCATCTCCACAATGGAGTAAAGAAGAACCTGCAACGTATATACAATACACATATACACTAATTAAAGAAAATTTGCAAAATATAACCCAACCTCATGAATCAACAGAAATGACAGCAGATTCAGAGGAGCCTGAGACAGTCTTTCACACTACAGTGAAGCAGTTACATTAAGTTTGTTCTTCTGCAGCCTATTCTGAAAATCAAATATATATCAAAAGTTAAGGATTTAGCTTAAAACTCACACAGCAAATAAATCATAATGCATGCCTGGAATTCATTTCTTTAACTTCTCCTGTTGTGGTTAGTGATTGCGGAGGTGGTCAGATAGGGATTAACTTCACCAAATATTTGGCAATACTTTTGCACAGTGAGGTGAACTAAGGATACAACTTTAATTTGGGTGTCAGAGTCCTTTGTGGACTTTATAAGCCCTTTAAAGTTGTCTAAATATCAGCATCATTTGCATGGGTACAAACTAGGATCAACTGTAGAAGGGAAAAGAACATTAGATTTCTTCTTGATAGGTTTCTGAAAGCACTTATTGAATTTATGCATGCTGCAGCCTCCTAGTTTATATGCACTGAAGAGTGTGATGGGATGGGTGCAGGGGGATCGTGTACAACTGCCCATTTGTATGAGGCATTTGGAAATCCAGGACTGCCTCTTTTGTGTTTGTTCCCCTTTTTGTGGACACATAATTCATCTTTTGCATGTTGATGCAAATGGGAGTTTGGTGGCTGCTCCTGTATAATAGATAAGATGGTGATTGGCAGAAATAGAACAGTGGGGACTATGGGTCTCAGCGGAGGAGAAGATTGTTGGGGAAAATAGGAAAACATGAACCTAACGAAAAAGGTATCAGAGGAAATGACAAATGCAGCCAAGACAAAAACCATAGTGGTATTACAGTAGTTAATAGATGTTAAAATAACCGATAGACTGGCATTTAGTTAAAGATAAAGCAGAGGAGTGTCTTCTGGAGCTTGAAGCTGGCTGGGGACCTAAAAGGGAGAAGAATTGAGAGGAAATAACTAAAAATGCAGGAGAGAAGCAGTAACTCAAGATGTAAGGGGCAGGAATATGTGTGGGGAGAGGGTGATTAGATGTGGACAAATTCTTTCAAGAAAATGTCATCAGGAACTGGGAGCAAGAAAAGGTACCTAGTCAGCTGGAACCATCTGACCAGCATGAGCCAGACTTACGTATGTCTGGGTTACAAGACGGAGCTAAGTGTTTCTCATCACAGTTCCTACCAAGGTGAGCATGAGTGAAGCTTGGCAGGACAGGAAATATGTGCTGGTCCGCCCTGGTTTCAGGGATGTGATGAAGAATAGTGTAGTCCCCTGCCCATCAAGGACTCAGAGAGTGGTAGGGGTGACATATATATGTAAATAACCACAATAGATGGTAAATACTACAATAAATTTGTATACAAAGGGTTATGCCAACCTCTTGAGGTACCAAGTACCTTTCTAATTTCTAGTACTCTTCCTCTTTCCAAAGAAGAAAAGACTGCATGTTAGACTTTTCCAATTAAAGGGAAACTCATCCAACTCACACTCTTCCTACCCACATTCATACTTCAGTGTTTTTCTTTTCCTCTTTTTTTTTTTTTTTTTGAGACGGAGTCTCTCTCTGTCACCCAGGCTGGGGTGCAGTGGCACGTTGTCGGCTCACAGCAAGCTCCGCCTCCTGGGTTCACGCCATTCTCCTGCCTCAGCCTCCCGAGCAGCTGGGACTACAGGTGCCCACCACCATGCTAGGCTAATTTTTTGTATTTTTAGTAGAGATGGGGTTTCACTGTGCTAGCCAGGATGGTCTCGATCTCCGCCCGCCTTGGCCTCCCAAAGTGCTGGGATTACAGGCGTGAGCCACCACGCCCGACTTTAGTGCTTTTCATTTGAAATTGTGGCATCAAAGAGCTCTTATTTTTTCAAAGGAGCTTTAGCCATTTGCTAATAAGTAGGAAAGGCTGGGAAAAAGAAACAGTATCAGTGGGGCTCCAGGACATCTTCACAACCCTACTGTTGGTAGTCAGCCAACATTCAATCCACCCCCTTCTTTGTTGGCAGAGTTCCAAAGTTGCTTTGGAACCTATTCCTCCCTGATGTGACTCAAGGGAGTCACCAGCTCCAGCCTAGCTCCGGCAGTCAATTCTTATCCATCTGAGCCAGCCATGATGGTCCTGCTCTTGCCCATGGCTTGTTTAGGACTGACCTTGCAGTCTATTGTGACCAAAGAGTTCTGGCAGAAAGTCTGCTGGGTGACTTCTGGGAAAGCTTTCCTCACTCCTAAAAGAGGCACACATGAAGACGGTTTCTTCTTCCTCTGGATGTGGTTGTGTTTGTTGTGATACACAGAGAGGCAGTAGACACCTTCAACCGTGGGGAGAGCCAGCCCGAGGACAAGGATGACACATGAAGGTTGGCAGAATAGAGTTTGGATCCTGGATTACATTTTTTGAACCAATGAATTTAGCAATCTTGGACATTTTCTTTTGTGTAATACGAAATTTCCTTATACCTTAAGCCACTTTCAGTTGGTTTTGTTTCTGTTTCTTGCAGCCAAAAGCATTTGACTGTGACACATGCTGGAAGTGTCTCTGAAGACTATTCTATTTCAGTAACACAAGAGCCTGGCAAGGTTGGATAGGAGGCATGGCTGTTTCCTCCTCTTCCCACTCAAGATTATTCCCCTGGTTCTTGAAAGTGGTTGTAGGTTTATTCTTTGACCCATGCCAAAGATTGTTGTTTAGGCTTTTGCAGTGAAATCCTGGAAACAAGAACCAACTTTCTTGAGCACTTTCTTCTCACAGCCTTATTTCTCATTAAGTCCAACCCTTCACTTTCCATCTACCTGGAACTGCTAGACACAAAAGAGCCAGGGCTCATATCTACTGTGCTCCTCCTATCGCCTCCTGAGTCAGGGATCTCTCTCTCTCTCTCTCATCTCCGCCACAGTATGGTACTAAGATAAGAGCACACTTCCCCACACAGAGTCTGCCACCAGCCAGACCACTCAGGAAAAGAGGAGGGGAAATACATGCATATGCCTTAAAATCACATGAAAAACAGGGGAGGGATGGGGGCATGTGGGAGAGACCCGACAGGGTGAGAATGAATGGAATTGAGAGTCAGGAAGGTTGTAAACAAAAGGCCAGAGTATGTGGGTTACGTTTCTACACTTTCATTCATGCACACAGGTGGTTGAAACGATTAAACTGTATTAGGAAAAATGGACAATCTTTTCCTAATTTTAGGTACTGAAGGACTAACCAAATAAGAGAATCTTTTAATGGGGCCGGGTACAGTGGCTCATGCCTGTATTTTCAGCACTTTGGGAGGCTGTGGTGGGTGGATCACCTGAGGTCAGGAGTTTGAGACCAGCCTGGCCAATATGGCGAAACCCCATCTCTACTAAAAATACAAAAGTAAGCCAGGCATGGTGGCACACACCTATAATCCCCGCTACTTGGGTGGCTGAGGCAGAAGAATTGCTTGAACCCGGGAGGTGGAGGTTGCAGTGAGTCGAGATCCTGCCACTGCACTCCAGCCTGGGCAAAGAGCAAGACTGTCTCCAAAAAAAGAAAAACCTTTTATAGGGTTGCATAAAAGTAATTCAAATTATAATAATTCATGTAAAGAACATGTCATTTGTGCCTAATTACAGTGCCAAATTATAACAACTAGGCATAGATTAAATATGGCATACATTTTATTTGTTTTCCTGTGTCCCCAGCCTTCCTAGGGTCACTCCGGATCACTGTCATCAGCTAATGTAGTACACGGTATTGACTGACAACTTTACAGAGTTGAAGAGGCCACTGCTTATAATCTACCTACATGTTTCCTGGCATTTCTAGTGTTCCTTCATAATCTATTGTGGAACTTGTTTCAGTGTTCCACCCATATTACCTTTACAGATATGAAATTTCAACAATTTAATCTTTGTTATGCCTAATATTCTTTCCTACTGCTTCAAAGGATACCCACTCTTTATTTGGCAATCACTTAAATGACATTTCCTAAAGACCAGGCATTTTTCCCCCATGTGCTTTGCAAATACAAATTCATGTCATCTTTATAACAGCCCTGTGAAATCGTGTGGCAGACACTATTGCCCATCCATGTGCCCTCAGTCCACTTCCTGATTACACCTGCAGTCACAGTGGACAGTTTGACATGGAATGACAGTGAGGAACATGCGTGCACAGGTAAACATCCCAGTTCCCTGTCCTGTACAATACTGTGAAGGTCCTCAACATGATGGTGCCTCCATTGCCCTCAAGAATGACTGCTCCTTTACGCCCCCTTCAAGAGCTTCTCTCCCCGCGCTCTCACTCGCCCTTATTCCTTCACTTGTACTTCCTGGGATCACCTCTCAAAAAATCACTTCTATCTAAGTCCTTTTATCTGGGTCCACTTTGGGATGAACCCAAATTATAACACTAAGTTCTATTATTATCCTCATTTCATAGATGATTAAAACTTCATTGTATAGATAAAAGTATGTGCCTCATATAGATGAAGCACAGAGTGGTATAATAATTTGCTCAAGGTTATCCAGCTCGTGGAGTAAGGATCTGAATTCAGGCTTCAGAGTCCATATTCTTTACCACTACCCTATACTGGCCTCTAAAAGTCATACTCTATAATTTGGTGAACACGTCCATCTTCCACCTACACAGATCATTCTCAATAATATAAATAGGGAGAGGAGTTTGGCAAACTACGGCCCTCAGCCAAACCTGGCACATGGTCTGTCTTTGTAAATAAAGTTTTATTAGACTACAGCCACATTCATTCATTTCCACACAGTCTGTGGCTGCTTTTGCATTGCAATAGTAGAATTGAATAGTTGTGACAGAGACCATGTGGCCTGCAAAACCTAAAATGTTCACTATCAGCCGGGTGCAGTGGTTCATGCCTGTAATCCCAGGACTTTGGGAGGCTGAGGTGGGCGGATCATGAGGTCAGGAGATCGAGACCAACCTGGCTAACACGGTGAAACCCTATTCTCTACTAAAAATACAAAAAATTAGCTGGGTGTGATGGTGGGCACCTGCAGTCCCAGCTATTCAGGAGGCTGAGGCAGGAGAATCACTTGAACTCGGGAGGCAGAGGATGCAGTGAGCTGAGATCGCGCCTTCCATGCTCTGCCACAATATGGTACTAAGATCGCGCCACTGCACAGAGCAAGTCTCCATCTCAAAAAAAGAGAAAATTTACTATCTGGCCCTTATTCACAAAAAGTTTGCCAACTCATACTATTTCTCGGTAGGGCGTGATCTTTCCCTGGAATCTATTTAAAATATATCAGCGAGACTCCCAGAACATGGCTTGACTTTGGGTTGGGTAGCTTTGGGGATTCTGAATATCTGCTGAACAAGCATGTTTCTCTGTGCTATTCTAGCTGAGCCCAGGGATTGGTCAAACATCCAAATGCTGAGCCTGTGGCTCGTTCTTCTCCTGGCCACCAATCAAATGGTCTATGACTATTTCTCCTTTTCACCACCTGATTGTATTTCTAAGAGATAAGAGGTGTCCCTTTCCCACTAACAAGTATACAACACCAGCCATGCTTTAAAAAGTGGGTTAGGCCTGAAGGGAGCTTCTGCCAGAGATGTAATCATATGGGAGAGGAACTTGACTAATTCCGTGAAGGCAAGAGAGGTCTCATCTTATTTTAGATGATTCAATGGGAACATTTTGGTTAGTTTGATAGAGTTGTTAAGTTACATGTTTGTTTGGGAGTTTCTGAGTCTACGGCCACTTCTGCTGGGCCTGCACCATGTGGTGTGAAAGCTTTGGCTTTCCACATTTACACACAGGTATCGAAAGCACCTTTGCAGCCATTCACATTAAAGGCACCCATTGGCTGTCCTAGGCCATCAAAAAAATATTGTTATGCACCATTTATACCAGTTTGCCAATTTGGATTTTTTTTTCTTTCTTACAAGAAACCATAGTGACACTGTAAATCATTGAGGGTGTTGATATCTTTTAAGACACACTTTGATAACATTCTGGAATATGCCATTTTATAAAGCAAAGGGAAAGGTGCCACTTGGAGTGTATCCAGGAGGCAGGAAGGCCCTGCAGGGTCAACTTTTCCTTTTCAGCTATGTTCATAGTAACTGTTTATATATTCTAGATTTACAGACAAGGTCTTCAGATAGTGTAATGAGTACTTGTTAATCAAAACTCCCATACCTCAAGAAGGTTTTTGCAGGTCAAATAGGTTGGGGTAAAACTATACATATACGTAACTCTTTACAATACCTGAGAACAAAATTCATCCAAATATGCTCCTAACTGTCTTGCCCCAGCTCAACTACAATTTCATATAGGTCATTTAGGAAACTCGGTGCCTTCCAATTGTCCCCCAAATATCTGGCAATTGTATGTGCCTTCTCAACTTTCAACCATAATAAATTGATGACGAAGAATCACCAGTTCAAACAAACAAATCATTTATGGGGAGGTCTCTATTTAGTGGACTGTGTCTAAGAAACAACGTGTTATCCGAAGACCCAAAACTTGGTTACCATTTGATAAAATATTTGGGTTTATAAAATTTTGTCATCTATTGCTTGAGCTTGCTGGGAATTGGTTGGAAGCAAATCTTCCTAGAGAATATACTATTGGTCAATCAAAGGACCCGGACGTCCCTCCTTTGGGGAAGTTTTGGTGGTAACCATGACTAAGACTAATGTCAATCATTGAGTGACAGGTTCCGGGAATCATTACCTGCCACCCTTCCCAGTGGGAGTGTGTTCCTTCAGAAGCTGCCTGGAAGGTGCAAATGATATGCTAGTCACAAAGTTTTGGATTGTTTTGGACCTGCAGGAGAGCTGGTCACACGGGTGAGCCCTTGTGGGGACAGTAATTCTCAGTGTAGGGGTGGAGAAGAAAAGGGAAGGCAGAGGGAAGGAGTATGACCAAATCACTGGGGCTTTTTCGAACAAAACAAGGCCCCTTCCTCCTCATCATCTCCCCTGGATTCCAATACAAAGGCCTGGGGCTTACGTGACACAATTCTTTTTTTTTTTTTTTTTTGACACCTATATGCGTGTGCGGTCTTTTTTTTTTTTTTTTCTTTTGAGACAGAGTCTCACTCTGTTGCCCAGGCTGGAGTGCAGTTGTACCATCTCGGCTCACCACAACCCCTGCCTCCCGGATTCAAGCAATTCTCCTGCCTCAGCCTCCCGAGTAGCTGGGACTACAGGCATGCGCCACCATGTCCGACTAATTTTTGTATTTTTAGTAGAGACGGGACTTCACTATGTTGGCCAGGCTGGTCTCAAACTCCTGAGCTCGTGATCTGCCTGCCTCGGCCTCCCAAAGTGCTGGGATTACAGGAGTGAGCCACCATGCCTGGCCATGTGACTGCAATTCTACTGCTCTTCACCGTGCCCTGCTCAGTCTAGAACACGCTGTACAGACCTGGGCATGGCTGCTCTTTCTGCGGGATGCTGGCAGCCTGTGGCTGGAGCTTGTCAATCATCTGCAAGAACTGAAATCCCTCAGGTATCCTAGATACTTACTGGGCCCGAGTATCAAAAAGACAGGATTTACACACCAGCTTTCCTTCCTCCATTTTTATTCCAACTCCACAGAGGCTTCCCCAGTGACCCTCTTCTTCTTTTCTCTGCTTTGCTTTCTGCCCTAGTTCTTCCAGCTCTTCCCCTTGTTACATTATTCATGGCTTTTATTTCTCACTTAGTAATTTATTTTAATTTTTATTCATGTTTTTATGCTCACTTAACCCAGGTCCTTATCTTGAAAAATGACTACTCTGGAGTGACCAGAGAAGGAAGAAATAGCAAGCTATTAGTCCTTTTTAAAACAAGAGAATTCCAAGATTATTGCATTTAAAAAACTTTTCAACAGCTGCAACTGAGTTTGCCATTAAACAGTGGTTCTTAATCTGGGCTACACATTGGAACCATTTGGGCAGTTTTGGAAAAAAAACCCCGATGCCTGGGTCTCCCCTCCAGAGATTCTGTTTTAATTGGCCCGAGGTAAGTTTTAAAAGCTGCCCAGGTGATTCTAATGTGCAGCCAGGGTGGTGTGTCCTTACCACAGACAACGCTGCAGAAGCGAGGCTGCCTCAGAAGTTCAGACCCCCTCCCACTCCTCTTTCAGCACAATGATCGTCCTTGCAGATTTCCTCTAAGTGAGAGAAGCTGGGCTCATGTCCTTGCCCCACCACTGTGTAACCCTGGGTCGGGGCCTTTATCCTTCTGAGTCTCAGTTTCTTCATCAATAAGAGTAACAAACTCAACCGTGATGAGGCTGCAAGGTGGGCCCACCCACGATGCTGCGGGTTAGAATTCCTGGTCAGCAGTGCATAGGGTCAGGGTGAGCTCAGGAGAAATGGAAGAAAACTGAACCAATTAATGGTGCCTGTAGCCATGCAGAGACCCTGTTTCTATCACCAATATGCCCCTGATGTTGGCACTGAAGAGAAGATACCTTTTAGGACCCCAGACTGACTCTTTCCAGCTTCCAGCTCTCAGAGCCTCTGTGGGCACCAGGTAAGTGTTCAGAAAGCCTTCCTTGACCACCAACATATACATCAGCAAAGCTTTCAACTCCGTCACACAGAGCTTGAGGTGGTCCAGCTGAATTCTTTCCTCTGCTGGTCATGATGTGCACCACAGAATTGGAGGGAAACCAGCATGTGCCAGGGAAGCCAGCTAGGGAGGGGACAGAGGCTCCCCTTCCTTCGCTGCTTAGGGGCCTTCAAGTCAGCGCCCTTCTGCCATGAAGCAGAGGGTCTATGAACATGGACAAGGCACTAATGCAGATTTCCTATAAAGACCTTCATTGGAGAAAATAGAGCCAGATCTTCTAACCAGACCCCAGCGATGTCTCCCCTTGCAGTAAGATGATGCCTTGCTTTACACAGATCCTTTGCCGAGAAGCAGATGTGTTTAATATAAAAGAAAGAAGAGGAGAGAGAAGACATTGTCATGCATGAATTTACCATTCCGTGACACTCAAAATTCAGTGCCTCTCAGGGCATTTGTCCTTGCTTTTCTCCTCCTGGGATATTCATAGTTCATTCCTTCTGTGCTCAAGTATCATCTCCTTACTATCCCCCACCCACCCCCCACCCCCGTCCCTTCTTATCTCCTTCCTCTGCTATTTTTCTCTATCACAATGACCACTACCACTACTTATCATGATATTATTTATTTGTTACTTGCTTACTCGACCCTGAGCTCCATGAGGAATAGATTTTGCTCATCTTGTTTATAGCTCTGCCCCAGTGCCTGGCAAAATAAATATAAGCAAAGAGCATGAATGAATGAATGAGCATGTGCATGAAACCTTGGGAGGCAGAGTGTCTGCTTTCACAGTCCCAGACAACACGGCTTCTGTGCCACTGCCGGTACCCTTGCTCCCCGGCTGAGCTGTATTCTTCTCCATAGGATTTACCACTTTCTGACTGACTTTGTTATTTGTTTACTTCCTATCTTCCCCACTGAAATGTAAACTCCACGAAGGAAGGGACTTTTGTTTTCATCTTTACTAGCCTTTGTTTTATTCCCAAAGTCAGGATGGCACCTGGCAATGTAGTGGGAATTTAATAAATATCTATTGTCAAAGAAATGATTACTTCATTCAGGAGAAGGTGATGCCAATCAATCCCTGGCAAAAGTGGTGTTTTTCAAGTGCCTCCTTTGTCATCAGCCTCTGTTTTTGTTTTGTTTTGTTTTTGTTTGTTTGTTTTTACTGTTTTACTCTTCTTGAGAACACTGCCTCCATCCATAGTTCCCAGTGGCTGTTAGCCCCTCCCTCTCCTCCCAAGTACATGCAGCAGGTCTCCACATCAGTCTTTGACAACACCTCTGCGTTCCCTCTGTACTTTGCTCTCGCTGTTTCATCTTTGAATGCTTTTCTTTCCCCATCCACTAAAAGCCTCCTTATCCCTCCGAGCCAGCTCTTTCCTGGAGCCTTTTCCTGACCCACAGCCAGAAGTGCACTTTTCCTCCTCTGAATCTCTACAGGACTTGGTACCTCTCAAGTGGTTCTTAGGACACATTAGAAGACATGATCAGATCTTTGGAGATTATGTCAGTGACACCGTAACCCAAGACTGTAACCCTAAGACAAGAAGGAGCAGGCTCAGTGGCAGGGAATTAGCTGCCAGCTTACTCTCATGCTCACACAAGAACCTTCAGGCATCACCAACATATTTCTGCCTACATAGCTGAGGCCACTTCAGACTCTGGGCCGCACTGTCTCATCTATCCTGAAGCTTTGGAAAATCCCAATGGCTTGCTGTGTGCAGGGATAGAAGCAGAAGATCCCAGAACTTCCCCAAACTGCAGCTCTCACTTCTCCCTCCAGCCCCTAACCTCTACCCCAGCCTCTCAATCCCTGGCGGAAGGTCTCAGGACCAGAGGACTTTGTTTTTCTCTTTCAGACTGCTCCAATCTTCTCTCCCTCCTCCAGAAGCCCAAATTCTGGCACTCTCTCACAACCTGCAGACAACTCTATGAGCAAACATCCTCCCTCCTCTACTCATCAAATTAGTATTTCATCCCTTCATTTCCTGGTAGCCAACAGCTTACATTGTGAGCTGCAGATTTCTACAGATTCAAAAGCCTAAGGCTTCTGAAGACAGAGTTGCCCACTTAAAACTGACTGTGGAATTAGGGGTCACTAATATGAGTTATTTCAACACTTCCCTGATGCTTTTTCTCCCGTCTCTCCACCCGCAATGTTTGCAGGAAGCGTGATGCAGTCAAGAATGTGGGTGCACATTTCTATCTTCTCAAGAAAAGTGTTATTGGGAGTGGGAACTAGTGACACGTGACAGGATTTTGATAGATGAAGTGTTTTCAGACTTAAAGATTATTCAAGGCAAGCAGATTTCCTTTATGCTTCTTCAGAGGCAAATTTCATGTCTGTATATTGTTATTTCTACTTTTGATGCCCTAGCCCTTTTTAACCCTTTTATGTAGTCTCTTGCCCATTCACAAGTTGCATTCTCAGGGGGCATATTTTTCAGAGAAACAACAGTAATAAGGTTTGTGTGCTGTCCTGTAATATCCCATTTTGCTAATATAGCTAAATTCATATTATTCATTTATTCATGAATTCACTTCTCATTCATTCATTCACTTAATAAATATGCATTGAGCCAGTGCAATGGCTCATGTCTATAATCCCAGTACTTTGGGAGGCTGAGTTGGGAGGATCCCTTGAGGCCTGGAGTTCAAGACTAGCCTGGGCATCACAGCGAGACCCTGTCTCTACAAATAAATAATAATAATAATTATAATAAGCCAGGTGTGGCAGTGCACATCTGTAGTCTCAGCTATTCAGGAGGCTGAGGCAAGAGGATTTGTCGAGCCCAGGAGGTCAAGGCTGCAGTGAGCTATGATCATGCCACTTCACTCCAGCCAGGGCAGCAGAGTGAGACGCTGTCTCTAAATATATATATATATATATATATGTATATATAAAATATAATATGTATGTATATGTGTGTGTGTATATATACACACACACACACATACATACACACACACGTGCATTGAGCAACAACTATATGTCAAGTGGACCCCACTGGTGAACAAGAGGGACACAGGGCCTGCTGTCATGGATCTTACATGGAGGTGAAGGGAGCCAGATAATAATGACCTGCAATAACATACAATTGTAGACTAGAATAGACGCCCTAACTTGAGAAAGTCTACTTTAGATAAGACAGTCAGGGGAAAAAAAATCTTGATTTTTGAGCTAAGAAAAAAAAAGAGCAGAGTTCAAGGAGCCTTCCAGGCAGAATGTACATAGATACAAAGGCCCCAATGCAAAAGATGAGTCATGTGTTGGACGAACAGAAAGAGGCCAGTGTGACAGAAGCTTGGTGAGCTGGCTGCCCTGGGAAGAGGAAGGGGTCTGCAATTGCCTTCTGGTCTCCAGGCCCATGAGAAGCCTTCCCATTTGCAACACAACTCCCTGACTTGCTTGAATGGGTGGTATATTCATTAATTCCAGAATGCCTGTACTTCAGATATTCCAAGCATTGATATGAACCTCTCCTGGAAAAAAAAACAAAACACAAAATTTTGTTCAGGGAGACTAAAAATCTTTGCCTCTTGAAACCTCCTTACAGCCAAAGTCACATTTTTCTCAACATAGGAGACTCGAGTTTCTTGCTGGTACATTATTGGGTTCCACAAAGTACAAAGTAGAATCTGAATTGATAACAAACACAGCTGCTGTCCTTGGATCATGCGGACTCTAAATGTGGTCTTGGAGGAGTAACGAGCATGTTCTCAAAAGTGATCTTGCCCTTCACATAATTACCAGTAGAACAGCAATGCCACATGCTGTATTCAGAGATAACCTTATTTTTCTTTCTTTTATATCTCTTGAATCTTTTATCATACAACAAAAGCAACATAAAATTTGGCTCACCACTACTGTGCTGTGTTTCTGATTAGTAAGAGATAATTCATTGGCATAGTCCTTGGCAAATGCTCAGTTAACATTAGTTGTAGTCATTATCAGACAAAAAAGACAAATCACAACTTAACTCTGAAGATTTTAGGTGCTCAAAGGACAAAGCTCTCTTAAATTTTACCCAAGTGAAATCTCCAATCATTTTTCTTTGAGACGGAAACTACAACCTTCAAATTGTGCGTAAGCACATTTCCTTTTGAAGCTCAAAATAATCCTGTATTTTCAAAACAAAGCAAATAGGCCTCCATCATTAAATGTGGCTTTGTTTACTTGTGTAGTTTCCTTTCATTCTTGTAGGTCAAATGTTATTATCATCATAGTTGACTCAACTTTTGTTTCAAGCTTAATTCGGTTTTAAAAACCTAATCTGTTCCATTCCAGATCTTTCTCAATGAAGTCTCAACCTCATTTACAGTGGAAAGTTTGTAGGTGTAACAAACCTTTTGTTTGGTGGAAGGGAAAACAAAAATACCACGGCCACCTCTGAGGTCTGGCTCAGAGGAAAACTGCTCTGCCCTGCTTCCTCTCTGACCTCTTGTGTGTAACGGGGATGTGGCATGAGTCGGCATTAGCTTGCTCTGTGCTAAGATGCATCAGATATCGTGGGGCCCTTGGGAGCCTTGGACTAGAGGCTGCAGATAGGATAGGAGGATAAGCAATGTAATGAACCCATGAGTCTTCAATCATGCAATAAGCTGTTATATCACAAAGAACTATGACATAGGAGGTCAAACATACCATGAGGTGTTTAGCGAGATTGAGAATCTTGTCATGCTATGTTCATGTCGTGTTTGGAACAGGAGAGAAAGGGCAGGGTAAGTGTCCCCTTATGAAGGTCAGAATTGTGCGGGGCTTTCATCACATCAGATGGTGACTGTTTGTGTACCCAGCCATCTCCCTCCCAAGCCCACTGGAGGAAGAGTCTTATGTTATTCAACCTGTGTCTCCAGAGTTTATTACATTGTCTGTGCTCAAGAAATACGTGTCCAATGAATGAATTTAACTTTTTTTTTTTTTTTTGAGACAGAGTCTCTCTGTCACCCAGGCTGGAGTGCAGTGGGGCGATCTTGGCTAACTGCAGCCTCCGCCTCCTGGGCTCAAGCTCAGGCTCCTGCCTCAGCCTACCTCTTGCCTCAGCATCTCGAGTAGCTGGGATTACAGGCATGCGCCACCACGCCTGGCTAATTTTTGTATTTTTAGTAAAGACAGGGTTTCACCATGTTGGCCAGGCTAGTCTTGAACTCCTGACCTCAGGTGATTTGCCCACCTCCATCTCCCAAAGTGCTGGGATTACAGGCATTAACCACTATGCCCAGCCTGAATGAATTTAACTATTAAAACACTTTCATATATTAGGACCAGCCTGGTTGTCTCACAGAGAACTAAATCAGTAGCTTAATGAGAGTGAACTCTCAAATATAGATGTCTCTGTTTACTGTGACAAGGACAAAAAATGCATTTGCAGCAAAGCCTGCCAAGCAGGGTAGAGGACACGCCATCCATAACCTTCAATGCAACAACTTGCAACTCAGTATAACCACCTAACATCCGGCCTTCTCAGCATTTTTCACACCATGACATACACAGCGCATGAAATCTGTACAGCAAACTGAGATAAACCACTAAGGCTGCTCTCAGCAGGAGGAGACTGCCCTGAGGGTTCCAGGTGCCCCAGGCCCCACCAGCCTCCAGGGAAATTACAGAGTTCCACCTGGACACCCGCCCCAATGCTTCCAGCAAGCCTGGGGCCTGGAATAGCATAGTGGCCAGGATGCTCAGTCGAACTTGTTGCAAAAATGAGCCAACTGTGACTCCTGAACATAAAATCCAAGATCCTGGTACAATCTATTTCTACACTACTGGCACCATCTCAATCTATTTGCCCAGTCACTTAATAAAGATAACCAGTAGGTGGATAAGTGCCTTCAGTTCAGGGCCTAGAAGGGGTGGGCATGGCTGGCTAGCTGGGAAATGCAGGTTGCACAAAAATCAGTAAAGATACTCACACTACTTTATAGCTGTATTAATGCTTTATGGTTTATAAAAAGCTTTTATTGCATTATACATCAATTGATAATAAGATATAATCTGGAACAGGCAGAGCGAAAAATAAAAAATAAAAAGGCTCATATCCATTCCTCTTAAACTGTCAGATGTTCACCAGAATGAATATATTTTTAGTTAACAAATAAAAAATTTTCACAAACTTGGACCCAACTTTCCAATCACTAACAGAGATAAGGGGTATGAAAGGTAGACATATGGCTGCAGGGAGAAGTCACAGCCAGGCAAAGAGAGAAGATGCAGACAAACACGCAGAAATCTGGGACTAAAAAAGAGGCAAGCACCTGTGGTCCCAGCCACTTGAGGGGCTGAGGCAGGAGGATTGCTTGAGCCCAGGAGGTGGAGGCTGTAGTAAGCTATGATCACACCATTGCACTCCAGATTAGACAACTGAGTGAGACCCTGTCTCCAAAAAAAGAGAAAAGAAAAGAAATGGAGACAAACAGCTCTATGCACTTAAGCTGATATTGAGGACATTGTTGTATTAACACAGGACTCTAGAATAATAGAGATTAATATGAATTAATTGAGACCCTGTGGTAGTCTGTTTTGCATTGCTATAAAGGAATACCAGAGACTGGATAATTTATAAAGGAAAGAGGTTTATTCAGCACACAGTTCTGCAGGCTCTACAAACATGGCACCAGTATCTTGCTGCGCTTCTGATGAAGGCTTCGGGAAGGTAGTCCTGGTGGAAGGTGAAGGGGAGCCAGCATGTCACATGGCAAGAGAGGGAGCAAGAGACAGGGGAGGAGGTCCCAGGCTCTTTTAAACAGCCGGCTCTGGCATGAATTAATAGCGTGACAGCTCACTCATTATTGTAAGGACAGCACCAAGCTATTCATGAGAGATCTTCCCCTTTCACTCAGACACCTCTCACTAGGCCCATCTCTCACATTGGAGGTCACATTTCAAGATGAGATTTGGAGGAGCGCACATCCGAACCATATCAGGAAGAGGTTAGATTGTGTTCTTCATACTATGTTTAAGAATGCTTGGAAGCATGGGGTCCATTTTAGAGAGCTTTCCATTCGAAGTCTTTAAAAAAATCACTTCTTAAAGATATAAACCCTGAGCCATACAGAAAAGTCAATGATCAGCTCCTTTCTAAAGAGCTCCAGTAATCAAAATTTTGCAGTATATGGTTTTATTTTTCACTGTATTTGTTTAGTAGAGTTTTATGTTCTGTTGTTTATCTTAATAGCCAATATAGAACATGATTTCTATTTTTCCTCTATTTTTGTATAAATGCTCTACATTTAATTGCTATTTATTTAAATAAACCTTGATTGACTATGAATGGCCCTTAACTAGACATTTTTAAAGTCTCCTCGCCCCTGTTCAGATAAGGAAACCACAGTATCCTACCTATTTTTAGCATCCACTGGGAACTTAGCAACAGTTCTCAGGTCTTTGTCTAACATAATTAAATACTTACCATAGAAAGAGTGGGCTCATGTATGTCAGGTAGATTTCCTATTGTTTGGACACACTTATCCAACTGACAAAATCACTTTTCCCTTTGAGAAAATCAAGTTTTCCCAGTATTCCTACTAAATAGATGTTCAGATCTGTTAAAAATAAAGAGTGAAGTATGAGTACACGGTTTTGTAGATGGCCTCAAAATGTGGCACTGGTTACAGAAGACGTTCAGCAAATTCTATTCAAACATTCCAATACAAGCTGGGTGTGAAGAAATGCTCAGACATTCTTCACTCCAGAAAAGGTATCAAGAAAGGGAAGAACCTGGATGCAGCAGCTCACTCCTATAATCCCAGCACTTTGGGAGGCTGAGGAGGGAGGATCGCTTGAGCCTAGGAGTTCAAGACCAGCCTGGGCAACATAGTAAGATGCTGTCTCTACGAAAAATAAAAAAGAAGATGTAGACAAACACACAGAAATCTGGAAATCATAAGGAGGTGACTACTTGTCATTCTAGCTACTCAGGAGGCTGAGGCAGGAGGATCACTTGAGGCCAAGAGTTCAAGGCTACAGTGAGCTATGATCATGCCACTGCACTCCAGCCTAGGTGACAGAGTGAGACCCTGTTTCAAAAAAAAAGAAAGGGAAGAAACACTAATGAGCACCCACTATGTGCCAGGCAAAGAGATTGATATTGACTCCTAAACATTTCTGTGTGGAAAGTGAATATCCAAGTTATATGCATGAGAAAGTCGAAGTTAAGAGAGGTGATATAATGAGCCCAAACTTGACAGCCAGAAGGGAATCATTCCCAATGAAGTGACCAGAGACAGGAACCTAACAGACCCAGGGGAGACCATCTGGTCATGTCCACTGAAGGCATTCACAGATAGCTTCTTTTTCATGGCTAAAGAATGAAATTCAATGAAGGGAGGAGGTGATAAAACACACATGCAAGAGCACCACTGCTAAGACTCTCCATCCAGTACTTTGCGCGTAATTATCCTAGAGCAATGGCACCCAGCTTCCCCAGAGAATGTCATGAAGGGCGAGGCAGAATAAAATTGTGGGAGCTTCTGGGAGCTGCTGAGCAGAGAAGAAGCAGAGCAGAACCTGTCTTGGAGAACAACCCCTGAGATTTTAGGGTTTGCTGGAAGATAGTGAAGGTCTAGCAGTGAAGGACCTCTCCTCTTGGGCAGTCCTTGATAAGTCAACTATTTCCTCCTTAGAGGATCCTTGTTTCATTAGGTTTTTATGCAATTGTTTATTTGTAAATATGAATAATACCTGATTGAATAGTGTTTGACCCTGTCAGAAATAATAGCATCTTCCTTTTACTGTTTCATTCAGATAGATGTAAAGCCCAGTGTTTTTTAATAAGCTAGATGATATACAATTCTGTAGCAAATTCAAATTTCTCGTGCTCTTAACTCAGGAGTACCAAATATGGGGCATTCTTTGTTTTGTCCTGAATTGAGTGTTTGTCTTGAGCCTGTATGTTTTCTGATGGCAGAAATGACTCGATCTGATTAATTCAGTATTCTTGGCCCTTTTAGCTTTAAATTCTGTCCATTCAGAAATTGTTCCTCCCACTCCTCAGGGTACCATCTAAATTCTGAGAAGTTGATGAAAAATCAAGGCAGTGTGGGCTTGTGTAAATGCCATCGTGTGCTAGTCTACCCACATTTGCTGACTGTGATGTGTCCCTTTGCCCCGCTGCACTGTGCTCACACACTCTGTCACTCAACCTCTTGCTTTTACCAATCTCTAGGACCTTTGAGAAAACAACTGCTGCCCTTGTTCCTATAGGGGAGGGGAAACCTGTTTCCTTTACCCTCTTATGTTCAGTGACTGGGGCCCTGCAAATTAAACTGGCAAAAGACAGATCAACAGAAAAAAAAGCATACATATTTAATTTGACATTAGTATTTTAATTTTTGTTATGTGTTCATAGCACTCTCACAGAAAAGAAAGTGAAAACCCAAAGAAGCTGTGAGGCCTCAGAGCTTATAGACCATTTTAACAAAGAGCAGTACATTTGTGGAGAAGTGACAAGACAAAGGGAGAGGTCTAGGGCTTCAGGGTGACAAATTGTGGGAAGGCAAACATATGAGAGGAAACAAATGGAAGATCCGGGTTATTTCAGTAAGGTTTGTTTATGCAGATTTGAGCTGGCACCATCCCCTGTGATAAGAGTTCTCTTTCTTTATGGGAGAGGAGAGTGGCAACACCTTGACAGAGGGAAATTTATGCTCTGCTTTTAGGCAGAAAGGGGAAGGGTAGAGAGCTTTTCCTGCATCTGCCATTTTCCATTTTCCTTCAACTCGAAATAATCCTTATGCCAACATGGCATATTTTCGGGTGGCATATTCTGATCTCCATCAGCACAATTGGTGGTTTGCATAGGGTTCATGTAACACCACCTCAAACCCATCTCCCATGCTGTCATCTCTTCTTTCTTTGCCTATGTCACAGTGGAGCAGGAGACATTAGGTGTTCTTAGTTCCACTCAGAGCCCCAAGGGAAATTCAGAGCACAAAATCCCCAACCAGTCTGGGGCTTCCCTGACACCTTTCCTTCCAGACTGAGACTGAGGCAGCAGAATACAGATCCCCATCACTGTGTTTCTCTGTTGTTCTCTTCCCTGACTCTTCTTCCTGTCCCCAGATAGACTCAAAACTTATGGGCTGAGACAAATTGGCTCTTACATCCTTATAATCAAGGATTTTCCCCAAATCTGTCACTTATGGCAGAAATATTTGCTTTTAATACCCAAGAGCCAGGCCTTCAGACACAAAATCCCTTTCTGACAACTCATTATATCTTCTGGGAGTTTGAAAGTTTCTTTTGAACCTCAGAAGTGAAAAAGTGATATTCTGAATCTAAATTGTTCTGTTATGGCCTTCCTTCATTGAAGCAATAAGTCCAGGCTCCCTGAAAATATGACCCTCTATAATCCTGGAAAGAGACAAGTGAGGTTTTCCCATAAATAACTCAGCAGAAAACGCTATGCCTGAATCCAACCTCTCATGCACCTGAGGCTCTGTGGCTGCTGAGGCCCCCAGGTGCTGGCTCCAGCTTTCTCAGCCTCCCTCCACCCCATAGCTTGCACCCAAGCTTGGACTTTTAGCAGTCATTGTGTCCACAAGGGTGGAGATGACATCTCTCTGCTTCATATTATGTCCAGTTATTCCCCAGCCTGACCATGCTTCTCTTCAAAATGCTGAGCTCAGGAGCCCACATCCTCCAGGGAACATGTCCCCCCACAAGGTCCAGCCAGCACCAAGCCAGGCCATAGAGGCCTCCATATCCCTCTGCCTGATAACTTCATTATATAACTTCTTCTACACCAAGGGGTAACACCTCCACAAATATTGCAACCTTAGGATCATTGGCCCATAATTACAACAAGACCATTTCAACCAATGGGCTTATGGACTAGAGCTGGGAGCCAAAATTGAGCTATAGTTTGAACCAAGAGGCATCAAGGGGTTAGTTCAGGTCTTCAAGGGTACTAGGACTGTGGGCTACCTAAGTATCTATGTATCTATGACCCCTTCCATCCTTCCATCCTTACAATAGAACCCCTGCTTTTTAAAGAACCACAAGACTATCAGGAATAAAAACTGTATTTCTCTACCTCTTCCGAAACCATGTATAACAAAGTAATTTAAGTACTCGTCAATGAGCTGTATGGCAACTTCAGTAAAACCTCTTTAAAAGAGAGCATACACACATTGCTCCTTCTTCATCATCCCTCCCTTCTCTCTACCTGAAATGAGGCTGTGATGGCTTTGGGACCATGAGGAAGAGAGTGGAGTCGTTTCCTGGAAGGATTCTTGTTTTTTTAAAGGCTTTGTTGAAAGCCATAGGTGCACTGGGCTGCCTTCCTCTCGACTTTCTGTGTGAAGGAATACAACCTTGTAGGTTTCAGCCACTGTTCATTTAGCTCGTCTGTCTTATGCAGCCAAATCAATTTCTCATATATGTAAATTATAACTAGGTCCAACTCTGCAAGTGTTTGGGGTCAGGGTAGTTGAGGAGACTATCAGAGAGCAAGTTGAAGTTGTCACTTGTTAAGTAGCGATATTCATGAATGACTCTTGAACTCAGCAACAGCTTAAACAATCAGGCTGGGTGCAGAAAGGTTTTGATTCTGCAGCTCTGGAATGCGTGTTTGATGGTGGCTTCTCCCTTTATTCTACCTTCTAGCAGTGAGAGGAATGGCTGTGATATAAAGGGTCTGTCTGTTGTGCTTCAAGATGTCAAGTGCCCTTTTCCTGTGACTTGTGGGGATTTGCTGTGGTTGCCATAGAGACAAAGTGAATCCAAGTTCAGCCGCGATAGCGAGGCCCTTTTATTCAAAGGCACATATTTTGAAGAGCAAACCAGTATGTAAGATAGTAAGGTGACTCATCCTCCATCAGCACAGCGAAGCCTTCCTTCAGGATCTTAATGGATGTTATCCCAAGAAGCCCATAATTGTGAGTGAATTATGAAACGATTAATTAAATACATTTTCCCTACCTGCCCAGCACCCGCCCTCCAGGAATTCTCTTCCAGAATTTTGAGGAGGAAAATTAAGTCATCAACTCACCAAATAAATAAATAAATAAATAAATATTTTACCAACTAAATATTTTCTAGGCTTTTTTCTCTCTTTCATGCACTTGCTAGTTGTTCTCTGAACCAGCAGCTTGTGATGAAGATTGTGCTGGACTTGGAGTTAGGAGATTCTGCCCTTAATTAACTGGATGGTTTTGGGTGGGACTGCCCTGGGTCCCAGTTTCTTGATCTGCAACATGAAGGGTAATGTGAGATGACCTCTAAGATTCCTTCCAAACCCAAGAACCCATCCTGATTTTTGTTTTAGTTCTCCTCTCAACCACAGCAGCTATCTTAATCAGGTCTCGTGGGCTCTACCTTCCCCAGCTAGAATGCATGCTGGTGTAACAGGTACTCAATATATGTTTATATAACAAATAGAATGAATGAATGAATGAATATGATTTTAAGACTGGTTTACCTAAACATTATAGTTTTGTTATTTTTTCACCTTAATCAGTCAGACTTAGAAATAAAGTGTCACACACCCAGATCAGTATCTATTGGAAGTGAGTTTGGAACCCAGACCCAAGGGCTACCTCTTGCTTCCTGCCGTGTCCCCGCCCATTCCTTGTTGTACTTCAATTGCAGACATCTTTGACAGTCTCAGGAACCCAGAGGTGCCTCTGTGTCTCTGCTTCTTCCGGAGACAAAATTACATTAATGAAAAAAATAATTCCAGTTCTGGTCCCCAATAACAGCCACACTGAGCTCAAATATTTAACAATCTCCTGCAGGCATTTTTCAAAGCTCATTTCTTCATGGAATCATTTTTCTTTGACAAAAATAAAAAGAAAACAAAGTAATTTAAATTCCTTCACCGCAGTTTCTAGAGAATTCTGGAGAAGAAGGGAAACCATACTGAAAAGGAAAAGGAAGCAGACAGTGGTTTAAATTCTGGGTCCTAGGCAAATGTTTGTGGGGCCCACTGCACAGCACACCCCTTGGAAATGCCCGTCCATGCCCTCTCTGGGACCTCTCTGTTTCTACTGCCCTCAAGTCTAGGAGAACCTAAAGAGCTAGATACGCCACAAAGAAAAGTGTGCTTCCTGCCTGAGCCCCTCTCCTTCCCGAAGTCTAGGTCACCTGACATGGTCACCTCTTGTTCCTGGAATTGGTAGGTCCTTCTACAACAAGGTTGGATGAGACTAATTTTCCACAGGCCAGGTACTAGACTATGTACTATTTCATTTCAGCTTTATAGTACCTAGCATGGAAGGTGTTACTGTGCTCCTTTACAGAGGAGGAAACAGGCCCAGAGAGGTCTAGTTGCTTTCTTAAGCTCACCTCTCAGGGAGGTGAGTGGCCAGTTTAACCCAAGTCTGCCTGTCTCTGGAGCCTGCAATCTTTACCATCCTGCTTCTCAGGCGATCCCCAGAGCTGGCTGTGAGCCTGTCGTTGGGCACCCAGGCTTAGCTCTCATTCTCCATTTTTATCAATCTTTCCAGAATTTGCTGGGTGCCACAGGGGTTGGGTGGTGGTAATAAGTTTTTGGAGAAAAGTTTGACTCAGAAATCTCCCTGATTTCTGATGGTTGTCTAAAGATCTAGTTAGCATGGTCATTTTCTTCTTCTTTTATGCTTCATTATTTTTTTAAGGTATAGTACATTTTTGTGGTTCAAAATCAAAACTATATAAAAAAGTTTTCTCAGAGATGTCTCACTTTTGTTCCTATTACCTCAGCCCCACATCTCCCACATCTGTTATAGGTGACTACAGTTTCTGGTTTATTCTTCCAGTGTTTCTTTCTACAAAAGAACCACAACATATACATAGAAACATATTCATATATGCATGCATAAGTAATATATTTATATGTGCATATTTACATGCTTATTTTCTCTGCTTTCATATGCAAATACAGCACACCGTATCACTGTTTCCCACCTTTTTCCACTTAGCGGTGTATCCTGGAGAACACTCTGTTTACCCAACTCTTCCTCATTCTTTTCATGTGGCTGAGGACTCCATTGTGTACTAGTGCCTTAGTATTTGCTTATGCCTCACTGATAGGCATTTGTATTTCCAATCCTTTGCTATTTCAAATAATTCTGCAATTAATGGAGTCGAGCAAACTTGTTTTGTACTGGCAGAGATGTATTTTAGGGGGCTTCCTAGAAGCTGCATCAAAGGATAAATATGTATGTAATTCTGGTAATTGTTGCTAAATTCCCCTCCACAGAGGTTGCAGCATTTTGCTCTCCCACCTGCAATGCGTGAAGTGCCAGAGGCTCCAAGTCCAGCCAGCAGAACGCATTGTTCAACTCTTGGAGTATTCACCAATCTGTAGGTGAATAATATCTCAGTATATTTTAGTCTGAATCTCTCTTGTAAGCCTGGTTGATTATTTTTTTCATGTTTAAAAGCCATTTCCTTTTTTATCCTGTGAATTCTCTATTCATGCATTTTGCCCGTATTTTTTAATTAGTTTTGTTGTTCTTCTTGATTTTTTTAGAGTGCTTCAACCATTAGGGAGCTTAGTCCTTACTGATATAAGTTCAAAAATTTCTCCCAGTCTTTCATTTCTCTTTTGACTCTGCTTGTGGTCTATTTTGTCACAAAAAAAGGTTTTATTTATACTTGGACAGGTATATTGATTTATTTATTTATTTCTTCTGAATACTGAGTCACAGAAAGGCTTTCCAACTGCTAGGTTGGAAATTCACCCAAGTTTTCTTGGAAAAATGAACAAGTTCAATTGTACATCAAGACTGCTAATCCATTTGGGGTTTTTCTTGGTATTATGTGAAGTTTGGATACAATTTTATATTTTTCCAAATGACTTTTTAGTTGTCCCAATACATTTTGTTAAGAAGTCTAACTTTCCCCAGTTATTTGAGATATCATCTTTATTGTGCAAAGGTGTTCTTGTGTCACTTTGTGGACTTTTAATTTTGTTCTATTTGTCTTCCTATTCATTCTTATGACATTCTTAATGTAAGGTCAATAATTATTATTAATGTAAGGTCAATAGCACCAGTCTTCATCCACATAGATAATCCAATATCCACATAGATATTGGATATCCAATATCTATGTGGATCCAATATCCACATACTGGATCCAATATCTATGTGGATCCAATATCCACATATTGGATCCACGTATTGGATCCACATATTGGATCCACGTATTGGATCCACGTATTGGATCCAATATCCACATAGATACTGGATTATCCAATATCCACATAGATACTGGATAATCCAATATCCACATAGATACTGGATAATCCAATATCCACATAGATACTGGATTATCCAATATCCACATAGATACTGGATTATCCAATATCCACATAGATACTGGATTATCCAATATCCACATAGATACTGGATTATCCAATATCCACATAGATACTGGATAATCCAATATCCACATAGATACTGGATTATCCAATATCCACATAGATACTGGATTATCCAATATCCACATAGATACTGGATTATCCAATATCCACATAGATACTGGATTATCCAATATCCACATAGATACTGGATTATCCAATATCCACATAGATACTGGATTATCCAATATCCACATAGATACTGGATTATCCAATATCCACATAGATACTGGATTATCCAATATCCACATAGATACTGGATTATCCAATATCCACATAGATACTGGATTATCCAATATCCACATAGATATTGGATTATCCAATATCCACATAGATAATCCAATATCTATCCAATATCTATCTTCATCCACATAGATAATCCAATAACTATCTATGTTTGTGGATGAAGCACCAGGCATAGCATTTTCTGCTGAGTAAAAAATTAGTAAACTAATTTTTCTTATTTTGTTGCCTTTCTGCATACACTCTGCTTTATTTTTATTGAAGTTAGAGTTCATGTATTTGACAAGCAATAAGGACCTATCATGCTCCAAATACCATGGCAGGCAAAGCAGAGATGCTTGAGGAGCTCAGTGCCCAGGGGCTGAGACATACAGGTTGTCTTTCACAGGCTCATTTCTGCATAGCAATTATGGGACCTTCCCACAAAGACCCTCTAATATTTCTAAAAACTATTATTGTATGCCTTAAGTGAGTTCATGTTTTTTATCCACTAGAAATTTTTGACCAGGACGCATATCTGCAGATGTTCAGGATAATTTTCTTACTAAGCTCTTTTGATGAACACCCTGATAATAAGGCATCGTTCTGTCAGGACTGATTTTGCTTCTTTCCCTTTGGATTCAAGTTGACCCAGCTTCAGAAAATGTCATCTAGTATTGTGGCAGAAGTCTGTTACTCTTACTCCAAGTGAAAGTGAAATTTTTTCAAATATTCTCCTTCTTATGAATTGAATTGTGTACTCTTTCCAGCTTCTTCCCAATTTCCTGGGCCAGATCTTATGAGGCTTCAAGTGATATGGGATTGGAGTCTGCCTAAAGTCTCCATCTTGCTCTGTGGCCACAGAGTCCTACTAGTGACACTCTTGAGTATCCTCCAAACAAGCGCTCCTAGCTTCTTGAAAGTTGCTTCTCTCCTCTTCTCTCCCTTCTCCCTTCCTCTCTTTCTCCCAGCTTTTATGCTTCATTCATTGACTCATGACCCCAAAGTTTCACAGAAATTTGTGAGGAAATCATTCATAGTTTCACTTGAAAAACACTCTTCAAGAGGTCAAACAGAAGTTCATAGGGGCAAGAGGGGGCATCCAGAAGACCAGTCTCTAAGGTAGATGCTAACTGGTCTTCAAAATCTCACTGCCCTCTCCTCCCCAGCCAAAACCCTCCTCCTCAGGTCCTGTAATCATCCTATTTATTCCTGTGATGGGTTGACTAGCATCCCCCTGTATTAGTCCATTTTGAGTTGCTATAAAGAAACACCTGAGGCTGGGTAACTTATAAAGAAAAGGTATTATTTGGCTAACGGTTCTGCAGACTGTACAGGAAGCATGGTGCCTCATTTGCTTCTGGTGAGGCCTCAGGAAGCTTACACTTGTGGCACAAGGTAAAGGAGAAGCAGGCATGTCACATGATGAAAGAGGGAGCGAGAGAGAGGAGCTGTGCTCCTTTAAACATCCCACTCTCACATGAACTAACAGAGTGAGAACTCACGCATTGCTGCAAGAACGGCACCAAATCATTCATGAGGGATCTACCTTCATCACCCAAATGCCTCCCACTGGGCTGACCTTCAACAATGCAGATCACATGTTAACATGAGATTTGGAGGTGACAAATACTCAAACTATATCACCCTACAAAAGATGCGTTGAAGTCCTAATGCTCTGTACCTCAGAACGTGACCTCATTTGGAAGCAGGGTCATTGCAGACGTAACTAGCTGGGTCCATCCTGGAGCAGGGTAGACTCCTAATCCAATGGGACTGGTGTTATTGTAAGAAGTGGAGAGAGACTGGCTGGGCGCGGTGGTTCACGCCTGTAATCCTAGCACTTTGGGAGGCCGAGGCAGGTGGATCGACTGAGCTCAGGAGTTCAAGACCAGCCTGGGCAACATGGCAAAACCCCGTCTCTCCAAAAAAAAAAAAAATTAGCCAGGCATGGTGGTTCATGTCTGTAATCCCAGCTACTCAGGAGGCTGAGACATGAGAATCGCTTGAACCCAGGAGGCGGAGGTTGCAGTGAGCCAAGATTACACCACTGTACTCCAGCCTGGGTGATAGAGCAAGACTCTGTCTCAAAAAAAAAAAAAAAAAAAAGAAGAAGTGGAGAGAGACACACAGGGAGAGGACAGCCATGGGTCCACAAAGGCAGCAATTGGAGTGCTGTAGATGCAAAGACAAGGAATGCCAAGGTCTGCCAGTAAGACACCAGAGCCAGAGGACACAAGGAAGGATTCTCCCCTGCCGGTGACAGAGGGAGTGTGGCCCTGCCAACACCCTGATTTCAGACATCTAGACTCCAGACTGTGAGAGAATAAATGTCTGTTGTTTTAAGCCACCCAGTTTGTGGTACTTTGCTATGACCACCCCAGAAAACTAATACAATCCTGACCCAGAGTTTTATTTCATAAGGATTTAGATCTACAGAATTCCTGCCCCAAGGTGCTGACACAAGGGAAGACATATGTAGAAGTGATATCTTCTCCCTTTTGATGAGACACTATTTTTATTTTTTCAGACTCAGGATTAGCTCATATGGAATAAGTTGCTTTTACTGGGCCTATTTTCCTGTGGTGAAGTGGGGTGGACAGAAAGAGTCTTCGGTATTGCTAATAGATAACGGTGCTGGCAGACGTAAGCCCTCTTCTCCAGCCAAATCATTCTACCCATTGCCTGTTTCTCTATCTGGAATTAACCTCACCTCTCCTCTCTTACTTGAAGTTCCATCTATCCTGGAGCCTCAGTTCAAGCTCTTCTTCCTCCCCAAAGCCTTTCCTAACTGGACAAGAGCACAGTGACCACTCCCACATCTGCATTCGAGAATACTCTTTTCTGTGATTCTCACTGACATGTGCAGTATGACTTCCTTGTTATCTTCCCAAATATGTCTCTCTTGTTCTAACCTGTGTATACCTGCCTTAAGGGCGGGGATTCTGCCTCTGGCACTTAGTGCAGTACGATGCACGTAGTGAGAGACCAGGAAATTCAGCAACAGAATCACTGACAGAACAGGTCTAGAAGGAGATCATCACAAACTAAACAGGACCCCAATGGCCATGAACAGCAGAGTAAGTAACCAGGGTTTCTATTGAGAATGATGGAACCAAGCAAAACTACCTGGGAGGGAAGCATCTAAAAAAATATTTCTCTCTACAATAAATTTAGAAAGAGCCAATGATTTTAGAAAATGGACTAGTCAAAAGCCATCCCTGGCTGCACTCAAATTTTCTTTCTCAATCTCTCTTTTTTTTTTTTTTTTTTTTTTGTTAGTAGATTCCCTTCTCTATCTCAGTTTTGGCTCAGTGTGTATGGTTTTTGTTTTGTTTTGTTTTGTTTTTGAGATGGAGTCTCACTCTGTCACCCAGGCTGGAGTGCAATAGTATGATCTCGGCTCACTGTAACTCTCTGTCTCCCAGGTTCAAGCAATTCTCCCTGCCTCAGCCCCATGAGTAGCTGGGATTACCAGCACCTGCCACTACGCCCGCTAGCTTTTGTATTTTTAGTAGAGATGGGGTTTCACCATGTTGGCCAGGCTGGTCTTGTACTCCTGACCTCAGGTGATCCTCCCACCTCAGCCTCCCAAAGTGCTGGGATTACAGGCATGAGCTGCTGCGTCTGGAAGTGTGTATGTTTTGATCAATGCTTTATAGTCCTCTCTTTAAAAAGTACTTTGAAATTGTAGAACTGTATTGCCAGAAAGGAGCTTAGAGATTTTCTCATTCATTTTGAGGCAATAGAAAGACAAAGAATTTGGAGTCAGACATATGTGAGTGAAAAGCCCAATCCTCTGTTTATGAGCTGTGGAACTTTGGGTAAGATACCCACCTCTTTGAACTATGATTTCTTTACATTATACTAAACAGAATAGTAATGTCTTCCAGGAGTGGTAATTAGGAAGATTAAAGCTATTGTAGGGCCGGGTACAGTGGCTCACACCTGTAATCCCAGCACTTTGAGAGGCCAGGGCAGGCGGATCACGAGGTCAGGAGATCAAGACCGTCCTGGCCAACATGGTGAAGCCCCATCTCTACTAAAAATACAAAAATTAGCCAGGTGTGGTGGCGCATGCCTATAGTCCCAGCTACTCAGGAGGCTGAGGCAAGAGAATCGCTTGAACCCGGTAGACAAAGATTGCGGTGAACCGAGATCGTGCCACTGCACTCCAGCCTGGCCACAGGATGAGACTCCGTCTCAAAAAAAAAAGAAAACTATTGTAGACATTCGTCTGGCACATAAAGAAGACACTTAAATCTAGTAGCTTTTTGATGGAAACTGGAGAACTCGTCCTTGGAATAAGTCAGATCAATGGTTTTCAAATGCTGCTCCTCAGAACTCTAGAGCAGTGGTCCCCAACTTTTTTGTCCCTAGGGGCCAGTTTCATGGAAGACAATTTTTCCATATGGGGGGTGGTTTGGGGATGAAACTGTTCCACCTATGATCATAAGCCATTATTAGTTAGATTCTCATAAGGAGAGCACAGCCTAGATCCCTTGGATGCAGAGTTCACAATAGGGTTTGCACTCCTATGAGAATCTAATGCCGCCGCTGATCTGAGAGGAGGCAGAGCTCAGGGAGTAATGCCCACCCGTGTGCCACTCACCTCCTGCTGTGAGGCCCGGTTCTGGTCCATGGCCGGGGCTTGGGGATCACTGCTCTAGAGGGATAAAGATGTGGTTCTGCAGCCTTCCCACTGGCAGCTGCTGAAGGGAAAGGGGATACCCAGTGGGCAGATTCCAGGTCCCCAAACCCCCTTTTCAACCAGAGCAGCCCCTCCTTTGTCTATTTTATATATCGAAATTCTGTGTTGGACTGCCCCATTTTTAAAAGAAAGAGATTGTTGAAAAGAAACTCTTAGCTTAGGGCAGTGCTTTTCAACTCTCCGGTTTCCAAGGCACACCTGCCAGCTCTTAAAACTGAGTATCTCTATCATTTAGAACATGGGCCCCTGTATTGTCAGAAATATATTTGATTTAAATGTGTCTTTTAAAAATCCTGTGTTAATTGGGAAAACAATTGCTCTCCCCTACAACAACAGGTGCCCAGAAAGTTAACTTGCTCAAAAAAGTTTATTGGATAAATGTCCAGTAAATACCTAAACTACATACATCATAATATTTTGCAAGAACAAGTGAGAAAAATGCTGGAAAATCTTTGCTGTTTAACACTGGGCATTATTATTATATTTATGCTGTTCCATCATCTGTATTTAATTTGTACTCCTTTATCTTTGCCATACTTTCTGCAATCTGGAAATTAAAGCAGAGGCTGGGATTGAAGGTCATCCAAACAAAACTGAAACCCATAAAGGTCTTATAGCTCTGGTGAATTAGAACAATAATATCAAGGAGAAGGTAGAATAATTACAGGGAGAATGTCTCATAACTGGGATGATAGTGCTAGTATTGCAGCAGCTGCTGCTACTGCTACTATTAGATTATTTCATGCCAGGTACTCTGTTGAGTACTCTGATCTTTATAACACCCTGCAAGGAAGGTATCATAATCTCTATTTTACATATGAGAAAACTGAGGCCAAGAGAGTTCAAGTAATTGCCCATTGTCACCTAGCTAGTAAGTAAAGTAACCAAGAATCTATTCTAGGTTGTCTGACTCAAAGACCAAGCCTTAAATAACTATGCTACTCTAATTGTTAGAAAGATGATTTTTGTAATAGTTCGTTCTCTCATTGCTGTAAAGAACTACCTGAGACTGGTTAATTTATCAAGGAAAAAAAAGGGGTTTAACTGACTCACAGTTCTGTAGGCTGTACAGGAAGTATGGCTGGGGAGGCCTCAGGAACCTTACAATCATGATGGAAGACAAAAGGGAAGCAGGCACATCCTACATGTCTGAAGCAGGAGGAAGAGAGCAAAGAGGGAGGTGCCACACACTTTTAAACAACCAGATTTTGTAAGAACTCACTCACTATCATGAGAACAGCAAGGGAGAAATCCACCTCCCTGATCCAATCACCTCCCACCGGGCCCCTCCTGCAACATTGGGGAATTACAATTCGACATGAGATTTGGATGGGGACACAAGTCCAAACCATATCAATAGTGGACAAGATGATTCTTCTGATTTTTGAATCCACAATTTTTCCATTAGAAACAGTAACATAATTCTGTCTTCTCTGATTTAGGGAAATGTAGAAATGCTTTATTGCCTAAATAAAATATTTTTAGGTAATTTAAAAATTGAGGACTTTTTTGGACTATCCCAGCTCAACAAGGCACACAGAGCATGCATATTTGCCTACTCTTTCTTCCAAGATCCTATTGAAATGAGAATAAAGATATCTAAAGGATGAATAAGTCTATTAGAATGCTGAAACAGAGTGTCATGAGCAGAAATTTTAATAACTTGGATAAATTTCCGGGAGTCAGAAAGCATATGATCCATATCGATATAACAAAGCAGAGTGATATACAAGCCATCAACATGCAAGTGAGGTGGCTTCACTCATAGTCCTTGCCTAGAGAGGCTCGAAGCTTGGAGCCAATGAGTAAAAAAGAACAAACATGGACCTGGAGCAGTGATCAGGGTAGGTAACCACAGAAGAGATAAACCACAGAACAGCTGGGCCAGCCAGGCCCACCCTCCCCACTCCATGTATAGAGAAGCTATTTACCCACAGCTGGAGCACCAATGAGTATATTCTGTAGAAAGTAGACTCTCTATAGGAGGGACTTGGGGCTTGAGTGGCGACAGAAGTATTGTCCAGCCTGAAAGGCTTTAGAGCCTCTACAATAAACAGAAACCCAGCTCCAGTCCAAAGTGTAGTTCCACCCTGCATATAGATAAAGTCCTTCCCCTTTGGGCAATTGTAATAGCACTGAACTTGCTGGCTAGATAAAGCTTGACTGTGGCAGAGCCATCCACTTACACAGAATCATGATCAGCCTTCCCATTCAGAAAATGGCCTTTCAAATAAACACAGCTCTTCATGCAATACATCTTATATGACCTATGTAATCAACAGAATTCTTCAATTATACATATGAACGATTGAGAAAGGATCTCCAGGCATTTGATGAATGAGAGGCAAGAGAAATATGGAGCTGAACACCGATCATTTCTGAAGAAACAGAAAAAACAATAAGATTAAACTGATGTTTATCCTCAGAGAGATTTGAGAGGCTATTGCATCTATAAAACAAGCACTGGCTGCTTTGAAGGCAAAGGGGATCAATTAGAGAACAAGAAAAATTTATTGCAAATTTAAAATGATGGTCAAATTCTTTTTAAAATCAATGATAAATCTAAATAGAATGAAAGCTGAAGACCAAATTAGGGACATGGTTGATAAAAGGCATTTCCCAGAAGGCCAGATATAAAAAGAAAAAGGCAAAAAAATATAAAAGAAAAATTACGTCAGTGAAAATAGACAGAGGCCCAGTGTTTATCTTAAGGGAGTTCTAGAAGCAATGCAAGGGAGAATGTAATCCAAGACACAATAAAGAAAATTGCTTTGCTCTGAAAAAAGACTCAGGTCTTCAGATTGAAAAAGCCCAACAAATGTCAAGCATTTGAATAAAATGACAGTCGCCCATACTTAGACATGTCTGTATAAATTTTAGAACACTAAGGCTAAAGAGAAAATCCCAGAGTTTTTCAGAGAGAAAAATAAATTACCTCCAAAGAACAAATATAAGATAGACAATAGACCTTGTCCTGCAACACTGAAAGCTAGTAGACAGTGTAGTCATGTCTTTAAAATATTGAGGGAGAATGACTGGGGACTAGATGATTGGAGGCTAAGCAATGAAAAGTGAGGGCAAAATTGAGAAGATTACAAGATATGCAATGATTCAGAAACTTTATGATTCATGCATCCTTAAAAATTAGTGTTATTTTTTATTTATTTTTATTTTTAAATTTAAAAAATTATTTTTAGAAATAAGGTCTTGCTCTGTTGCTCAGGCTGGAGTGCACTGGTGCAATGATGGCTCCCTGCAGCCTCCAATTTTTGGGCACAAGTGATCCTCTCACCTCAGCCTCCTGAGTAGCTAGGACAAGTGTGCACCACTATGCCCAGCGAATTTTATTTTATTTTTTTACAGACAGGGTCTTGCTATGTTGCCCAGGCTGGTCTCAAACTCCTGGCCTCAAGAAATCCTCCAGCCTCAGCCTCCCAAGGTGCTGAGATTACAGGCATGAGCCACCAAGCCCAGCCCTTAGTGTATGTTCTAATAGAACAAAGGAATCCAAGAAAGAGACCCAAAAATACTAGGTGCTAATCTAGAGAGTACTGAAATGAAATCCCAGTTTGATAGCAGCTATGTAGCAGTCAGTATGAACAGGTCAGAGAACTCTGTGAAGAATGCCTTCAAGAAGAAGGTAGAATCTAATACAAAATATAAAGCAACTATCTTTCCTGTTTACAAAGAAAAAGAAAGCCAGATAAAAACTGAAAAAAAAAATTTTTTAAGCTGTACAAAGCAATTGTTTTCGGATATGAAATAAATGAAAATGTGGCATAGTTTTGAGTAGAGTAAGAAGAGAGCATTAATTTGATTTTGATGTTTAAAATATTTTTCTGTGAGTGGCACAAGTTTAATAAAATAGAACAATATTCATTTTCCTCTATGGGTTCAACCATGCTAACTGGTTTTACAGTAAGTGATTGTTCTAGTTATCTACTGCTACCTAACACATTGCCTCAGAACTTAATGGCTTAAGGCAAAAATCATTTACTCTCTCTCATGGTTTCTGTGGGCAAGAAATTTGGGAGTAGCTCAACTGGGTGATGGTTCTGGCTCAAAGTTTCTTGTGAGGTTGCAGTTCAATGGAGGCTGGTCCTAGAGTCATCTTGAAGGCTTCTGTGTGCACATGTCTAGTGCCCGTACTGGGAAGAAGAAGAGAGGTGGACAGCTGAGGGCTGGGACAGCTGGGAATTCTTTGGCATCTCTCTATGACCATGTGGGCTTTCCAGCATGCAGCTTCAGTGTAGCCAGACATGGCTCAGCTCTCCAAGAAAGAATCAGGCTGAAGCTATGTTGCCTGTTATATCTGGACTAAGTCACAAAGCATCACTGGCACTGGACTTTATTAAGCCAGGTAGTCAGCTGAAACCCACCGAGGCTCAAAGGAAGGGGAGATAGATTCCAGCTCTTGATGGGAGAGTGGCAAGGCTTTGGAAGCTCATGTGGGACTGAAAATACTGCTGTAGCCATTTTGGGGGATACAATATGTCACTGTGATCACATGATCATATACTGTTCATTAGTTTGAATTTTTTAAACCAGCCTATAGATAAAACATGGAAGGAAACCATAATATAGATCAAAATGTAAATTTTACAAACCTTCAAAATATAAACAAAATTATATTACTGACATAAATGCATAGGAACGGGGGAGAAAAATATGGATGTACTCCTCCTTTCTACTCTCTTATCCTTTATCTTCCTCTCTTCAGCAAGTATTTGCTGAAGCCCTGCTATGTGCCAAGGACTTTTCTAGGTGACTTATTTTTTATAGTGAAGAATCAACAGACTCTATATTTGATCACAAAGCAAAAGTTTAAGTGTATTACTTAAAATTTTAAGACAAAATCTGGAATAATTATAACTAACACAAATTTTGAGGTAGAGGAAGAGAATTCTAGAGATAGGTGAGATAAAATTTTCATCTTTGATAATGAGTAGACAAAAACACTACCTTTAACAAGTGAAGAATTTAAAAAATTTAGAGAAGAGGAAATCATAAGTGGTTTTTAAAATTTATTATACATATCGAGGTAAAGATAATCCAACAGAAAATGAGATTTGAACAGACACTTCACAGGAGATAGACAAATGTCTCAACCTCATTAGTCACCAGACAAATGCAAATTAAACTCAAAATGCAATACCTGTACACACCTCACAGAATGGATAAAACTTGAAAGACTGACAAACCAAACCAACACAAAGCTGGTCTGAATGTGGAGCAAGGAAGACGCTCGTACTCTCCTGGTGAGCAAGGTGGAGATGGTAAAAGAGCTGGTGTAACCACTTTGGAAAACTGTTAGTATCTATTAAAGTCAAACTTATGCTTACCTTTTAACCTAGATATTCCCCTCCTAGATATATAGCTAAGAAAAATGCCTCAAATACACCAAAAGACAGGTTCAAAAATGCTCACAGGGCTGGACGTGGTGGCTCACACCTGTAATCCCAGCACTCTGGGAGGCCAAGTTGGGTGGATCATCTGAGGTCAGGAGTCTGAGACCAACCTGGCCAACCTGGTGAAAAACCATTTCTGCTAAAAATATAAAAATTAGCCAGGTGTGCTGGCATGCTCCTGTAGTCCCAGCTACTCAGGAGGCTGAGGTGGGAGGATTGCTTGAACCCGGGAAGCGGAGGTTGCAGTGAGCCAAGGTCACACCATTGTACTCCAGCCTATGCAACAAAGTGAGACTCTGTCTGGAAAAAAAAAAAAATGCTCACAGTACTATTATTAATAAGAGCCCTGAATTAGTCAGAGTTCCCCAGAGAAATAGAACCAATAGGATTTGTATATATAGAAGGAGTTTTATTATAAGAAATTGGCTCATGCAATTATGGAGGCTGACAAGTCCTAAATCCGCCCTAGGCAAGCTGGAGACTCAGGAGAGCCAATGGTGCAAGTTCCAGTCTGAGTCTGAAGGCCTGAGACCCAGAGAGCCAATGGTGCAGTTCCACTTAAAAGGTTGGCAGGCTCAAGACCCAGGAAGAGTCGATGTTTCAGTTCAAGTCCAAAGGCAGGAAAAAGCCAACCTCTCAATTTGAAGACCAGTAGGCAGGAGGAATTATCACTTAGCCAGGGGAGGATCAGCCTTTTTTTTCTATTCAGGCCTTCAACTGATTACATGAGGGCCACCCACATTAGGGAGGGCAATCTGCTTTACTCAGCCTAATGATGCAATGTAAATCTCATCCAGGAATGCCCAGAATAGTGTTTAACAAAATATCTGGGTACTCTATAGCTCAGTCAAGTTGACACATAAAATTAACCATCACAAGCCCCAACCTGAAAATAACCAAAACGTCTATCAATAGTAGAATAGATAGCTTACTTGTGGTACAGTCATACAATGAAATTAAAATAAAGATAATAAATGCAATTACCTACACTCGTGATACAAATGCATTTTACAAACATTAGGTCCAGTGAAGAAGTCAGGCATGAAAGAGATTATATAGTATGATTCCATTCATATAAAATACAGACAGAAAAAACTAAAGTGTTACAAGTCAGGACAGTTGTGGGTTTTTGTTGTTGTTGTTTTGTTTTGTTTTTTCAGAAGAGGGGAAGTTTTGAGGAAAGAGAATGTAGTCATTGGAATGGGCACGATGAGAAATTTGGGTGTGCTGGTAATATTTTTTACCTTGACCTTCATGGTTGTTCATTGGGGCATTCAATTTGTTATAATTCACTGAGCTGTACTCTTACGATTTGTGCATTTTCTGTATGGACCATACTTTAATAAAAACAGCTTTTAAAAACTTTATTAAAAGAGAGTGATTCAGGGGCAGTTTAAAACTTTTTGAAAACATAAGCAAATATTTTCTAATTCAAAATAATCAGAAAAGCAAAGCCTCATCAAGTCATTATCATGACAATATTGCAAAATGCAACTCAACATAAGCAAAACTATTCTTCAGTTGAATTCGCCTTTAATAAAATAGTTATTTAAAAGTTTCATTATGATAAACACTCCGAAGGCACAAAAAATTTTCGAGTGTGTAAAGAATCATTTATCAAAGTATTACTGCTTTGCATAAACTCATGAACAAGTGATAGTGAAAAGATTACAACAATCTGAAAATCAGATGAAACATTTATTATAACATAGAGTGGCATGTACGTAAGTTTTACTAAAATATGTTCTTTCATTGTTATTTTATCTACAGCAAATGTTCTTTCTCCAAATTAAACCAATTTAGAAACTACAAAAAAAAAAAACCTATAGGATAATAACCATTAACAGAATTAACTTTAGTCAGCAGATACAGTCAAGCGGCAGAAATACTGGAAAACCTAGTAAACCAGTTGCACAAATCAGAATGAAAAACACCTTCATTTAAAAGATGTAATATGTGTTATTTGGATCAAACATTGTCTTTGCTTATCGTTATTATATTTTTGTCTTCAACTTTAAAGTTTTAAGGATATTTAATGTTGGAAATGTGTTTGTATTATACAAAAACATTTTTTCAAACATTGGAAGGAAAAAGAAAATAAACAAGTTAGGGTATATATGTAATTCATTTAAAAATCATTTGAAATCTTTTTTTTAATTTGTATAAATGTAAAAAGTACAAGTGTAGTTTTGTTACATGGATATATTATGTAGTGATGAAGTCTGGGCTTTCACTGTAACCTTCACCTGAATAATGTACACTGTACCCATTAAGTAATTTCTCTTCCCTCACCCCCCGACCCTCCCACCTTTCAGAGTCTCCAGTAACTATTATTCTGTACTCCATGTTCATCTGTAAACATTATTTAGCTCCTATTTATAAGTAAGAACACACAGTGTTTGACTTTCTGTTTCTGAGTCATTTCACTTAGGATAATGTCCTCCAGTTCTACCTGTGTTACTGCAAAAGGCATGATTTCATTCTTTTTTATGGCTGAGTAGTACTCCATGGTTTGTTTGTGTGAGTGTGTGTGTGTATGCATAACAAGGACATTGAAAGTCAAATATACATATATTTATATATATACATATATATATCACATTTTCTTTATCCAATCATCTGTTGAGGGACACTTAGGTTGAGAGAGAAGGTATTATGCAGACCAAATTAATTTTTGTCTTTGTTATAATATTTAATGTAAAGAATATTTTATAGCAAAATTAAGGGAGAGTACAAGAGCTTCTTAAGCATATAACAGAAAATTGAAAGAAAAGAATAAGATATTAGCACATTCTAAAACAAAGACCATCTTTTTTCCCACTTTTAACTTTTGAAAGTGGCAGTATATTGATTGGTTCATGTGGAGTAGTAATATTGCAATTTTGCATAAATACTCCTTGAACAACAGACAATAAACTAAAACCAAGTTCTTCATTTTTTTAACAACTTAGTCTCTGATGGAATAGACTTTATAATAGTGTCAGGAGACCCACAGGGTAAGTCAACATTTGCTCATTGGGGAATCCTATAGCTGTCCATGGCGTTCTGGAGTGCTTGACCAGATGCAGAGTCAATAGGTCAAAGTGATTGACCCATACTTGTGGAAGATAAGCCTGTGCAGGCTTTGGCTTCCAGGGTTCAGGTTAAAACAATAAAAGACCTGTACTCTGACCCTCTTTATTCTGTGTCACGTTGGAGAAGGGAGCAGGGTGAGCTTCTCTGGATTCAGCCTTCATTCCGGAACAGAGTGAAAGGTGAGTCTTGGACATATTTTCCAAAGGCATCAATTACACAAATTTCCAAGGAGTATAAGTCATAATCTTAGGAGAACACCTTGAGCAAATTAATCCAAGGTGGAGGAGCTTCCATCTTGTTTCCTTCTCAAAGTTCTGAGAGGGGCTGAGCAGCTGATGGGAACTCTAGTTTTGTCTCTTGGGTGCCTCAGTGTCTCCATTACTCGCAGCATGGCAGGCACAGTAAGAATGAAGAATTTTCTCTTTCCCTCTCCATATCTCCTCCTTTAAGTTCTCTGGTTAAATAGAGGTAGGGGAAGAATAAGCAGGGCTGGTATTCAACCAATAAGCCCCTTACCAATTATTTACCTCCCACTGGTGGTCAGATTGGTCAATGTCCTGCTTGTTATGCATTTTTTAATATTATCCCTGGAAATAAACAACCTTTTACAGTGGCCACTCTTCTCTGCCTTCTGTTTTTTGGTTTTAGGTTTTGTTTTATTTTGAGACAGGGTCTTACTCTGTTGCTCATGCTGGAGTGCAGTGGAACGATCACAGCTCACTGTAGCTTTGACCTCCTGGGCTCAAGTGATCCTCCCACCTCAGCCTCCTGGGTAGCTGAGACTATAGGTGCCTGCCACCACACTGGGCTAATGTTTTTGTTTTTTTTTTCATCTTTGTATAGACAGGGTTTCACCATGTTACCTCGGCTGGTCTGGAACTCCTGGGCTCAAGCAATCTCCCTCCCTCTGCCTCCCAAAGTGCTAGGATCACAGGCATGTGCCACCACGCCAAGCCTCCCTTCTGTTCTTGAGTAGCTGTGAGATAAAACTGTTTGCAAGAAATAAAGGAGAGAACTCTTTACTGAAGTTTTTGAAATGAAAAATCACCTAGCTTACCAAAGTAGGAGTATAAAGCAGAACTGGAGTGAGTGGGGCTGGTAGGAAGTCCCAGAAACACAGAGGACAGCCATGGGGGAGGAGCACACAGCAGTGGTTCTCCACCTGGGTTGCACATTGGATCACCTGAAGCTGGCTGGGGCCTGGGCAACAGGATTTGTAAAACTTTCCCGGTTGTTTCCATGTGCTGCCCAGGTGGAGAACTACTCCGCAGAGCTATCTTGGCAGAGGGAAGGCTGAGAACCACAAATTAGAATAGACGTATAAAGACATGTCTGGCCAAAGAAATCTCAAACATGTAGGCAGCAATGCCTTAGAGGCACAGACTCATGACAAGGGCATGGGTGCCTTTTCAACAATTATACTGTAGCCTGTGGTTAAGGCTATGATAAAAGGAAGCCAAGAAAGTCCAGTGAAAGCAAAGATAAATCCTTTCAACACAAGGTGGAACGATCAGTGCTTAGAGAAAATAATCAAAGGGTACTTTTAAAATTATATTCTTAAAAACTCTTTCATCTTAAAAGGATTTTAGATTTACAGCAAAATTGGGGAGCTAGAGCTTGCACATATTCCTTTCCCAGTTCCCTGTTA